>NT_187383.1:1417513-1625402 GCF_000001405.40 Homo sapiens
GATCACTTGAACCCGGGGGGCAGAGGTTGCAGTGAGCTGAGATTGTGCCACTGCACTCCAGCCAGGGAGACAGAATGAGAACCTGTCTCAAAAAAGGAAAAAAAAAACAGGTTGTAACCCATCTGCCAAGATACTCCCCCAATACATTAAAACAATTAAACAGATTCAACAAAGTAAATATGTTTCTGTCCTCTGTCTCATGTCTCTCATGCAGCAGGGCTTCCCATGTATTTTATGCTAGCAGGCACTGTCCCACACCCACCTGAAACCATGGTGTCTTAAGGCTTCTTCTGTCGTAAAACATGCCTTTGGATCCACTACCAACAACTTCTTGACAAGGTCCAGAGCTAAAGCAACAATTGGGCAAATCACAGTGAAAAGTATAAATATATTATCAGTAACAGTATGCCAGAATTAACAGGTCACCATCCAGAAAGAGCAGAGAGGGTCTGAGATCATCAGGGAGTCAGCAGACAGGGCCCCTTAATCTTCCTCATTCTCTGTATTCAGAGTACTGTGAGAAGACCAGGAATGACAATGACACTCCCTGTCTCCTGCTGCTGGGACATCAGTCACTACCTCTTCGTTGCCTGTTCCCTCTCTTGTTGCTAGACTCGAGGTCAAACTAATTAAAGCTAAACTTCTACCCAATTCTAAGATAACTGGGATGCACAGCAAACTCTCCCTGACATCTACAGATGGATGGGTGACAGTTACTCAGCCAGGGAGAGGCTCCCTGGAACTGCAGACTTGTCAGAAATAAAACTTGACTACTCCAGCAAGCAACAAATGCACGCTGGCCTGTATATTACAACATTATTATTCCTTAAATATTCTGACATTTAACACAATCACCTATGTTATGTTATTTGACATTTAATTTTCTACTTTCTCTTCAGGGAACTAAAGTTGCCAGGATAAATTATAAAATATAAGGTAACTAAAGACATCTAGTTTTTACACGCTTGCTTACTCAAAGGAAACCTTGTAACTAAAAAGTTACAAGTGCATTTATTTTGCTCATTAAAATAGGTACCAGGCACTTGTGTACATTATCCCTAACCCTCAAAAACCTTTTAAGGTAGGGATTATTGAGGGTCCCTTTACACAGAAAGAAATTGGAGACAGAGGTTAAATAACTTGCCTAAGGCCACACAGCTAAGTAGTAGCAGACCCAGGACCTGAGTGCATGCTCTTAATAATTTCCAGTGCCTCTCAAATGGTGTGAAACTAACGATAGAAAATAAGAACAGAATTGACAGGAGAAAACACCATGGAATTTGGAGAGAAACTCCCACCACAGGACACACACATTTTAGAATACCACAAATTCTTAACCCTTTCATATTCATACCTTTCTCTGAGATTTCTGCCCAGACTTTAGGAATGAAGTTGTGTTTTCCACTGGTGATCTGATCCTTCAGTGACACTTGAGTCCTATGCTCAGAGAAAGGTGGATACCCACTAAGGCTTAATAATGGTAGAGAGAGAAAGGAAAAGAAATCAAGTGGCATTCTCAGTGGCATTCAGATATAAAGATTTCTTTTTCAGCATAATGAAAAGTCTGATTTTTCTTTAAATCAATGGTCAAAAAGTGAGCTAGGCTGGGCACAATGGCTCATGCTTGTAATCCCAGTACTTTGGGAGGCCGAGGGAAGAGGATCACTTGAGCCCAGGAGTTCAAGACCAGCCTGGGCAACATGGCAAAACCCCATCACTACAAAAAATAGAAAAATTAGCTGGGCATGGTGGTGTGCGCATGTAGTCCCAGCTACTCGGGAGGCTGAGGTGGGAGGATCACTTGACCCAGGAGGCAGAGGCTACAGTTAGCCAAGATCAAGCCACTGCATGCCAGCCTGGACAACAGAGCAAGACACATTTGTGACTTCATCTAATCACCTCCTACCAGTCTGTGAAGCAATGAAAATATTTCTTACCAGATAAAAAGAATAACTCCTAAAACCCAGCAGTCCAACACAAACAAGAACTTCAGGAGCCAAGCAGGTGGGGGTTCCACATAAGGTTCTCACGAGAGAGGTCTCTCCCAAAATCTTGGAGTGCCCAAAATCAGTAATCTAAAATTCAGTACAAAAGGGAATAATGTTGAACTTGTCATAAAATAAAAAGATTAACATAGTCTGCCAGTCCAAGAAGGCACGTAGGCTAGATCAGTTTCTATTGTACAATTCACACCTGCCATTAATCTGGAATCTACAGATTCATGTCTTTGCAAGTTAAGACATTTAACTTTGCTTAAATTAAAATTCCTGAGCCTAGGAATCTCAACACTCAGGCTTTCCAACTTAACCTATGTCCTCTGTAATCTTACAAAAAGCTTATTACCTTTATCACAGACACTTCAGGATTCTAATTAGTTCTACATGTTTCTTAGACCCCACTGTCTCAAACATGGCTGCGCTATGGAATACCTGTGGAGCTTGGAAAAACATGCTTATACCTGAGTGCCACTCTCAGCTTCTGAGGTAAAGCCTGGGTATCATAAATCCTAACAAGAGATTCTAAAGTGATGCCAGGCTTGATAAACAGGGAAAGGCAGGGCATGTGATTACACTCATTCATTCATTCACCTATTCTGCTCAAAGGGAGACAGTGTCCCCAAGGTCTGTGCTGAGGAGAAAGCTGCTCTGCCTTCGAGGTGTACCCCGGGTCTGTGCTGAGCAGAACGCAGCTCCGCCCTCGCGGTGCCCCCGGCCCGCCCGCCCGGGTCTGTGCTGAGGAAAACACTGCTCCGCCTTCGCTGTATCTCCGAAGTCTGTGCAGAGGAGAACTCAGCTCGCCCTCACGATGCAATCTGGGTCTGTGCTGAGGAGAGCGCAGCTCCGCCCTCGCAAAGGCGCACAGCGCGGGCGCAGGCGCAGAGAGGCGCACATTTTATGAATAGCAAATCAATTTCTCCCTGTTCCTCTTACATCGAGGCTGGACACACGTTTACAGGGGATCAGTGTGAAGGGAAGCTGGTGAGGCTGCCTGAGAAGCCCCCTGCCTGCGTCTCCCAGTGGACTCCTTGGGAGCGCCCCCTCCCCTGCTCTGCCCAACAGCGCCTGAACTGTGGCCACTTGCACTCCTGTTGCCTACCCAGTGGCTTGAACTCCAGAACTTGCCACCCTTCAGTGGAATTCCTGGAGGAGTGAGGAGCTCTGTGCTATGCTTGGCCACCGAACATGGGCCATCTCTCCTATTATGGTTTGAAATGTACCGTAGTGTCTTGTTTGGTAATTGTATAATAATATGGGGAGACTGTGCGGGTGTCTGCTAGCTTGTCTGCTGGTTCTTACTCATGGTGCCTTCTTCCCTTTCAGACTTGGATATCTTTGTGTGCTTCTTGGGGCCCTTGGAAGGGTGTCTGTGGGGTTTCCGTGAGGCCAAAGACAGAGGTTCCTTCTCACGAGGATGGTGTTTGCTTTCACATGGACAGCCCAGACCACCTGGAACCAAGTGCACAGAAGCCCCACCATCCCCGGGCCTCCCAGTTGTGATGGGTGAGCGGTCCAAGTCCGCAGGAGGCCAGAGGCTCTTTGTGGTTGAATCTGTGAGTTTCCTTTCCTTTTTCCCTCCCACTCCTTTTAATGCTAATGAATTCCTTGTTTGGGGGCAGGGGCCAGGGTTATCTCTTCTTCTGTCTTCACCCAAGGTGAGGCCTTTCAGGCTCCCAGCTTGATATGGGGGTGAATCCCCTATCAGCCTCCTCATACCTTGACCTCTGTCTACCCCCCTACTCCCTCCAAGGTCGAAGCCCAACTTGCCAGGTTGGCAAATGCTCACAGGCAACAATGGCCCCAGCGCTCCTCCCTAGGTTCTTGATTTTCCCCTGAAACTTGGCCTGGAGGTTTCCTACTAGCTTAGCAGCCCTTTGATGCTTTTAACGTAATTTTGTTATTATTTTATCCAAAATTCTTGCTTGTTTTAAGAGGGAAAGCAGGTCGGCCATTACTGCACAGAGAATCTGGGACAGTTATTATAACCATAGAAATTTATTTTCCATGTGCTGTCCCATCTTCTTGATGAGACAGATGTTTAACAGCTGGAGAACTGGACCCCGTATTTGTCCCCATCTTGCCTAGCAACAGAAGGTAGTCACTAATCAGGGATTTTCGAGCCCATTGCTTAAGGCCTTCATTGACCCAAAGGATAGTGGGTCCCTGCTCCTCTTCCTGCGGAGAGGCCCAGGTGCCCAGAGGGCCCTCCTGGCTTGGCTGCCTACAGAGTGGCTGATGAAGTGTCCGCTGTGCGCACAGGACACCCAGCCCCACTCCTCCCCAGGCAGCCCCTCAAACAGCTGTTGCTCTGCCTGCTTCGGCTGTGGACCTGAGGCTGAGAGGCTGAGCCATCGCCCTGAGCCGCATGCAGGGGAGTGGCAGGCCTGGACCCAGTGCCCAGACCTGGCTCACCTGACCTTACTTTTTCCACTGTGCCTGCTTCTCCCTCCCAGGCTCTGTGACCTTGGGCAGCCATGGCCATCCTGTGCCCATTCCCAGCTGTAAAATGAGAGGCTGGGCTGGCTGATCTCAAATGTCCCCTGCCAGCCTGAGATTCTGTGTTGTGTCCTGGGGTGTGACTGTGACATGCCACCAAAGGCAGCTGCCAGTGCTCATGAGGGAGGCCTTTTTCCTGAGTTAAGGCAGGTGGGGGGACTGGGGGTGAGTTGAGGGACTGGGAGGTGGGGGAAGCACACAGACAGTCCTCCCCAGCTGAGCGCTCATGGTGAATTACCTTCAGTCCCAGGCTCAGTGCTTTGGAAATGCTCTCAGGCCCAGCACCCAGGCCTGGAACCAGCCTCCAGGCCCCTGGCCCTCCCTTTCTCTACTGGAATCTTCCAGACCGAGGCAGGTCAGCTGAAAGTCACCGACTCTGCCTTCCACAAACTCATAGCTGACAGACCATTCCATGTCCCCTCCCAGCCCCGTCCCAGGAGCGGAACTCACTTTGCCTTCCCACCCTCCAGGCCGACTCACTGTCCGTCACTCTCTGGGTCCCACCCACTGTCCCACCGACTTCATTGGTCTAAAAATATGCTCTGGCATCTTGTTGGAAAGCAGCAGGAATGATGGGCCCTGCTGATAAGGTGAAGAAAGTGACCCGAGGGGGCAAACTTACGGACGGGACATACTTTGGCAAAATAACAAAACAGCGGGACCTGAAGGCTGGCTTCCCAAGCGTCCTCAAGGCCTTGTGCCAGGAACAGGACCCTCGGGCTTAGGAAAGTGAAAACCAGGCTCAGGTCCCTCACCCAGACCCTTCTGCCCGCTTTGGGAGGGAGCCCAAGAAGTCAGCTAGGGAGGGACCTCCCGGTGGGACCTGAGTCCTGATTGGAACTTTCTGGGGGCTTTCTTGGCATTTTACGTGTGTTGTCACAACTCCTTGATGGGAGAATTAAGCATGGTCTGTGGGATTCCACTGGGAGAGGACCCCTAAAAGCCTGGGCCGGGCCTCCTCCCAATTTCACCCCATATGCCTTTCCCTTTGCTCATTATGCTTTGTGTCTTTTGCTGTAGTAAACCGTAGCCATGACTTTTGCAAGTCCTCCTAGATTAACACTGAACTTGGGGGTGGTTTTAGGGACCCTGACGTACCTATGGATGTCAACTTGCTTTAGCACTATTTGTTGAAACAATAATCTTTTCCACATTGAATTGATTTGGCACTTTTGTTCAAAATCAATTGTAAAGATTTGCTACATGAATGTAAACATTTATTCCTGGACTCTTTTGTTGTTTTTTTCATGAGATGGAGTCTCGCTCTATCACCCAGGCTGGAGTGCAGTGGTGCAATCTCAGCTCACTGCAAGCTCCGCCTCCTGGATTCACACCATTCTCCTGCCTCAGCCTCCTGAGTAGCTGGGACTACAGGTGCCCACCACCACACCCGCCACCACGCTCTACTAAAAATACAATTTTTTTTTTTGTATTTTTAGTAGAGACGGGGTTTCACCATGTCAGCCCGGATGGTCTCGATCTCCTGACCTCGTGATCCATCCGTCTTGGCCTCCCAAAGTCCTGGGATTACAGGCATGAGCTACCACACCTGGCCTATTCCTGGACTCTTATTCTGTTTAATTGCCTATTTTTATGTCAGTACCATGCTATCTTGATGACTATGGCTTCTTAGTAAGTTTATTTTTTATTTTTTATTCTTTTTGGGGATGGAGTTTCTCTCTTGTTGCCCAGGCTGGAGTGCAGTGGTGTGATCTTGGCTCACTGCAACCTCTGCCTTCCAGGTTCAAGTGATTCTCCTGCATCAGGCTCGCGAGTAGCTGGGATTATATGCGTCTGCCACCACACCTGGCTAATTTTTTTGTATTTTTAGTAGAGATGGGGTTTCACTGTGTTGACTAGGCTGGTCTCGAACTCCTGACCTCAGGTGATCTACCCGCCTCAGCCTCCCAAAGTGCTAGGATTACAGACATGAGCCACCATGCCCAGCCCAGCTTCTTAGTAAATTTTAAAATCAATATGTTTTCCAACTCTGTTCTTATTTTTCAAAATTATTTTGCCTATTGTAGGTTTTTTTTTTGCATTTCCATTCAGCTTGCCGAGTTTTATTAAAAAGGTTACTGGGATTTTGATTGAGGTTGCATTGAATGAATGTACCAACTAAGGAGGCTTGACATCTTGACAATAATGAGCCTTCCCATCCGTAAACATGGAATAGCTCTTCTTTTAATATATCTCAGCATTGTTTTGTAGTTTTCAGTTTACATGTCTTGTGATTCTTTTGTTTATTCCTGAGTATTTTATTCTTTTTGATGCTATTGTGAATGGAATGGTTTTCTCAGTTTCAAGATTGTTCAGTGCTATTATATAGAAATTGAATTGGCCAGGCACAGTGGCTCATGCCTGTAATCTCAGCACTTTGGGAGGCTGAGGCAGGAAGATTGCTTGAGCCCAGGATTTCTGGGCCAGCCTGGGCAACATAGTGAGACTCCATCTCTACAAAAAAAATACAAAAATCAGCCAGCGTGGTGGTGTGCACCTGTAGTTCCAGCTCCTTGGGAGGCTGAGGCTGGAGGATGGCTTCAGCCTGGGAAGTTGAGGCTGTAGTAAGCCATAATGGTGGCATTGCACTCCAGCCTAGGTGACAGAGTGATACCCTGTCTAGAGAAAAAAAAAAAAGAATTGATTTTTGTATATTGATTATACCCTGTGACCTTGCTAAATTTATTAGTACTAATATTTATTTTATGGATGCCTTAGGATTTTCTATATATAAGATAATGCCATCTGTAAATAAAGACAGTTTTATTTTTTCCTTTCTAATCTGGATGCCTTTAATTTCTTTATTTGCCTCATTGATTAGAAATAGCAAAAGTGGGCATCTTTGCCTTGTTTGTGGTGAGAAGAGGAAAGCAGTCATTCACCACAAAGTGTGATGTTAACTGTGGGTTTTTATAGGTGTCTTTTATCAGATTTCATAAATTCTCTTTTATTTCTACTTTGTTGAGAATTTTTATTATGAATCTGTGATGGATTTTGTCATATAGTTTTTCCAATATCTGTTGAAGTCACCATGTGTTTTTTGTCCTTTATTCTGTTAATATAATATATTATATTGATTTTCAGATGTTAAACCTACCTTGCATTCCTGGGATAAATCCCACTTAGTTATGGTGTATAATCCTATTTATATGTTGCTAGGCTTGGGTTGCTAATACTAGTTTACAGAATGAATTGGGAAGCATTACCTCTCCCTTCATTTTCTCATTCATTTATTTTATTTTACTATCATATATATATATATATATAATTTCATATTATCTTATTTTAGTTTTTAGAGACAGTGTCTTGCCCTGTCACCCAGGCTGGATTGCGGTGGTGTGATCATAGTTCACTGCAGTATCAACCTCCTGGACTCAAGCGATCCTCCTGCCTGGGACTATAGGCATGCACCACCATGCCCAGCTAATCATCCATTTCTTTCTTTTTTTAAAACAAATTTTATGTTTATTTATTTATTTATTTGGATTTCTCCTACCGAAAGGAATCATTCTTTTTTTTTTTTTTTTTTTTTTGAGAGGGAGCCTTGCTCTGTTGCCCAGGCTGGAGTGCAGTGGCACAATCTCAGCTCACTGCAACCCCTATCTCCCAGGTTCAAGCCTCAGCCTTCTGCATAGCTGGGACTACAAGCGTGCGCCACCACACCCAGCTAGTTTTTGTGTTTTTTATTAGAGACAGAGTTTCACTATATGTTGGCTAGGCTGGTCTCGAACTCCTGACCTCAGCTGATCCACCTGCTTCGGCCTCCCAAAGTGCTGGGATTACAGATGTGAACCACCACGCCTGACCCGAATCATTCATTTCTTTTCAAGTGGATATCTTACGGTATTTTAGGGCATGGCTAGGAGCAGTTTTGTTTTCTCTTCTCAAGACAGAGTTTTTGTAGGATGTCATAGAGTTCATGTCTGCAGCTCACAGTGTCATTGCCTGTGTCCCCAGCTCCACGTACTGGCAGGTGTGCTGCAAGCTGGGCAGGTGCTCTGTGTCCGTGGGATACCTTACCCGACACTCCCGGCCCTCCTCTGCAAGCCGTGCCCTGATCCTCCCTGCAGGGACTGGGGATTGGGTCTGCTCACCCAGAAGCTGGGATACCTGGCTGAGGGCACTTCTCTCCCTCTTCTCTTTGAACAGAGTGGCCGCAAACCCAAAGGTGCGGGAGCAAGTGCGGCTGGAGCTGAGCTTCGTCAACTCAGACCTGCAGATGCTCAAGGAAGAGCTGGAGGGGCTGAACATCTCAGTGGGCGTCTATCAGAACACAGAGTAAGTGGGAGCAGCACACCTTCCAGAAGCCTCTGAGCCAGAGATCCTTCATACATCCAGGGTATGAAGAGGTACCTGGGTACGAACCCTATCTGCACAGAGGCTAGATAGGGTTCTAGACTGGGGTGTGGCAGCCCCAACTTTGGGAAGTGAGAGAACCATCAGCTTTGGGGTTGAGTGAGGTGCTAGACTGGAAGGGATGAGCCCATTTGTTGGGAAATATCTGCAGTGTTGAACAAAAAGGCATTTGTGAGGCCGGGCACAGTGGCTCACTCCCATAATCCCAACACTTTGGGAGGCTGAGGCATGTGGATCACCTGAGGTCAGGAGTTCGAGACCAGTCTGGCCAACATGGTGAAACCCCGTCTCTACTAAAAATAAAAAAAATAGCCGGACATGGTGGTGCACACTTGTAATCCTGGCTTCTCAGAGGCTGAGACAGAATTGCTTGAACCCGGGAGCTGGACATTTCAGTGAGCCGAGATCACACTACTGTACTCCAGCCCGGCTGACAGAGCAAGACTCTGTCTCAAAACAGACAAACAGACAAAAAAAAAAAAAAAACAAATGAAGACAGTATAAAATCTAGTGTAAATATATGTGATGAACCAAGATAAGTTTAAAAGTTAGATGCCTTGGATTTTATAGTTAATTTTCAGTAATTCCGCATAGTCACATTTCATAGACATGCAAACATTAGCAAGATATGTTATTAAATTCAACTGAACAGACATTGAGCAAGGATATTTTAGTGAGTCACCATAATTTTCCTAAGGACATTGTTAGGACAATACCTTTCCAATGTTGGCTAATTATTTTCTCATTTATTTGCCAAGGAACAAAAAGCATACGCAAATACTTCGGGATTAAGGCCAAAGGCCAAAATTGACCCTGTAAGGGGAGGCCACTATGCACACACAGAGATTCTGTGCACTGTACTTACGTTGGACTGCAGTCTGTTTCCTAGCTGGAGGTGACAAACTGAAACAGAAAAATCCAAATTAAAACAAAGTAACACACCAGTCTCCTTTTAAGGTTGTATTTCTTTTTTTTTTTTTTTTTTTTTTTTTGACACAGAGTCTCCCTCTCTCACCCAGGTTGGAGTGCAGTGGCGAGATCTCAGCTCACTGCAATCTCCACCTCCTGGGTTCAAGCGAATCTTGTGCCTCAGCCACCTGAGTAGCTGGGATTGCAGGTGTGCACCATCACACTTGGCTAATTATTATTATTATTATTATTATTTTTGTAGAGACAGGGTTTCATCATGTTGCCCAGGCTGGTCTTGAACTCCTGGTCTCAAGTAATCTGCCCGCCTTGGCCTCCCAAAGTGCTGGGATTACAGATGTGAGCCACTGTGCCTGGCTCCTAGGTCAATTTTGAAGGCACTTTATCATATCATTCTCCATAACTCAATTTTGGAATCGATTTCTGCAAGGTGAAAGCCAACAACACCATCCCTCAGAATTGCAATACATCTCCAAAAATGGAGATCTAACTATGAAAGAAATGCCCCTCTTGCCTCATGCCTGTAATCCCAGCTCCTCAGGAGGCTGAGGTGGGGGATCGCTTGAGCCCAGGAGTTCAAGGCCAGCCTGGGCAACTTAGTGAAACCCCATCTCTACAAAAAATAGGAAAATTAGCCGGGCATGGTGGTGCACACCTGTAGTCCCAGCTACTCAGAAGGCTGAGGTGGGAAGATCACTTGAGCCAGGGAGGTCGAGACTGCAGTAATGGCAACAGAAAGAAGTCCTGTCTCAAAAAACACAAAAACAAAACCAAACCCTAAGTGAAATGCTTCTTTTTAAGGAGAAATAACTTTGAGACAGTTCAAAGAAGGGTTTACGTGCTTTTTCAGTGTGGGCATGAGACTTCTCAAAAAGTAGGTGGGCCCCAGGGGAAACTCAGTTGGAAAATAGCTCCCTGGATTTGGAAACCTTGAGTCACCTATGGAATGTGTGTTTCCTGGTGCTGGTCCTCCACAGGGCACCGGGGTGGTTTCAGAGCTGGAGGGGAAGCGTCAGAAGTGTCTGTCATGGATATGCTTTGAAATTTAAAACTTACATCCTCTTTTATTAATAGCGTATTTTTTTCTTAAATCATGTATCCAGTTTAGGTTATGTCTTTGGAAGAATAGCTAAAGTTTTTTCTCTAACATTTTATTATGAAAATTTCCAAACTTTTCAAAAAATTTTAAGAATTTTCTAGCAAACCCCTGTGTACTCACTTCTTCCAAGAACATACTATCAGCATTGCTTCCTGACATATTTGTCCATCTGTGTATTCTTGTGTCTGTTAGGTTGGTTTGAAGGTAATTGCAGTTTTTGCCATTGAAAGTAATGGCTAAAGGCTGGGCACAGTGGCTCATGCCTGTAATCACAGCACTTTGGGAAGCTGAAGCAGGCAGATCACTTGAGCTCAGGAGTTGAAGACCAGGCTGGCTAAAATGGTAAAACCCCTGTCTCTACCAAACGTACAGAAATTAGCTGGACGTGGTGGTGCACACCTGTAATCCCAGTTACTGGAGAGGCTGAGGCAGGTGAATCATTCGAACCTGGGAGGTAGAGGTGGAGGTTGCAGGGAGCCAAGATCATGCATGCCACTGCCCTCCAGCCTGGGTGACAGAGTGAGATCCCATCTCAAAAAAAAAAAAAAATTAACTGGGCATAGTGGCATTTGCCTGTAATCCCAGTTACTCAAGAGGCTGAGGCATGAGAGAGGCGCTTGAACCCAGGAGGCAGAGGATGCAGTGAGCTGAGATTGTGCCACTGCACTCCAGCCTGGGCAACAGTGAAACTGTCTCAAAAAAAAAAAAAAGAGAATGAAATTAATGGCTAATATCAGTCTGTCTTATTTGTGATGCAATTTCAAAGGAAATCAAAGATGTCAATTCACTCCCATTAAATATTTGAATAACCAGAGTCTTTGCTTGTGTGTCCCCCTGCCACATTCCTGGGTATCTGGACTCCTCTCCCATTTGGCAGATCCTCATAAGCCCACCTGTGCCTGGCACTGTGCTGGGTGCCAGAGGTGCCACAAGCCCTGCCTGCGGGGCCCTTGGGTCAGTGGGGGATTCAAGTGGGAAGTGGAAGGGGTGCTTCAATGGAGAACACAGGAGAGACCATGCCCCAATGCTGGGGCTGGGAGACCATCCTGTGCCTGGAATACCCTCCTCTTCCTTCCCTCTTCAACTCCATCAATTTGAGTTTTTAACCAGTCGCCTCCAAATTCCATCAAGGAGGGGAAAGGGGATGAGGTGCAGGGTGGCCCAAGTTTGCATCATGCAGCCCAGGCATTGGTTATAGGAATTAATCCTAGCATCACGAAAATTGCTTCGAAGAAATATTTTATGTTCTTTTTTTTTCTTTTTCTTTATTATTTTGAGACAGAGTCTCACTGTTTCACCCAGGCTGGCATGCAGTGGCATGATCTTGGCTCACTGCAACCCCTGCCTCCTGGGCTCAGTTGATCCTTCCACTTCAGCCTCCTGAGTAGCTGGTAATACAGACATGTGCCACCGTGCCTGGCTAATTGTTGCATTTTTCTTTCTTTTTTATTGAGATGGAGTTTAGCTCTTGTTGCCCAGGCTGGAGTGCAATGGCATGATCTCGGCTCACCGCAACCTCCACCTCCTGGGTTCAAGCGATTCTCCTGCCTCAGCCTTCCGAGTAGCTGGGACTACAGGCACGTGCCACCATGCCTGGCTAATTATGTATTTTTAATAGAGACGAGGTTTCTCCATGTTGGTCAGGTGGGTCTCGAACTCCTGACCACAGGTGATCCACCTGCCTTGGCCTTCCAAAGTGCTGGGATTATAGGCATAAGCCACCAAGCCCGGCCAATTTTTGTATTTTTCGTAGAGACAGAGTTTCCCACTGTTGCCCAGGCTGGTCTCAAACTCCTGGGTTCAAGCAGCCCTCCTGCCTCAGCCTCCCAAAGTGCTGGGATTATAGGCATGAGCCACTGTGCCTGGCTTATTTTACTTTCCATGATAATCCTCTTAGTTGGCTCATCTTGGACTACTTTTAGTTTAGAAAAGAAAACATCTTATGACATTTTGACTATTACTTTTTTTTTCTTTCTTTCTTTCTTTTTTTTTTTTTTTTTGAGCTGGAGTTTCGCTCTTGTTGCCCAGGCTGGAGGGCAGTGACGGCCATCTCAGCTCACTGCAACCTCCACCTCCCAGGTTCAAGTGATTCTCCTGCCTCAGCCTCCTGAGTAGGTGGGATTACAGGCACCCGCCATCATGCCTGGCTAATTTGTGTTTTTAGTAGAGATGGGGTTTCACTATGTTGGCCAGGCTGGTCTCGTACTCTATCCACCCGCCTCGGCCTCCCAAAGTGCTGGGATTACAGGTGTGAGCCACCGCTCCTGGCCAACTACTACTTTTAAAAGCAATTGGTTAATACTTTGGAAGCACTTGACCTTCATTCTCAGAGACGGTGAGTTGTTTGACATAAATAGAGGCCTTTTTGACTGCTGCCTTGCTTAAATCCTGTGAGTTTGGGGTTTATTTTGGGACTGGAGAAGGGAAGTTGGTATTCTGAGTGTTTCAGGACTCAAGTTTACCAGAAAGTTTATGTTCTGGGTAGAAAGCAATGAAAACAATCCAGGAATTGCAGCTTTATGCCACACTGCCACAGCCTGCCTGAACTTTTACGTGAGACTTATGCCCAGATGCAATGGTTCACACCTATAATCTTAGCACTTTGGGAGGCTGAGGCAAGAGGACAGCTTGAGGCCAGGAGTTGGAGACCAGCCTGGGCAACAGAATGAGGCCTTCTCTCTCTCTCTCTCTTTTTTTTTTTTTTTTGAGACACAGTCTCACTGTGTTGCCCAGGCTGGAGTGCAATGGTGCGATCTCAGCTCACTGTAACCTCCACCTTCTGGGTTCAAGCAATTCTCCTTCCTCAGCCTCCTGAGCAGCTGGGACTACAGGCATGCACCACCATGGCCAACTAATTTTTGCGTGTATATATGTATATTTTTTTGAGATGAAGCCTCATTCTGTCGCCCAGGCTGGAGTACAGTGGCGTGATCTCGGCTCACTGCAAACTCCACCTCCCAGGTTCAAGCAATTCTCTGCCTCAGCCTCCTGAGTAGCTGGGGTTTTTCAGGAACCCACCACCACGCCGGCTAATTTTTGTATTTTTAGTAGAGACAGAGTTTCACCATCCTGGCCAGGCTGGTCTTGAACTCCTGACCTCATGATCCACCTGCCTCGGCCTCTCAGAGTGCTGGGATTAGAGGTGTGAGCCACTGCGCCAGGCTAATTTTTGTATTTTTAGTAGAGACAGGGTTTCACCATCCTGGCCAGGCTGGTCTTGAACTCCTGACCTCAGGTGATCTGCCCACCTTGGCCTTCCAAAGTACTGGGATTACAGGCATCAGCCACCATGCACAGTCATCTCTTTCTCTCTCTCTCTTTTTTTTTTTTCTTTTTTAAGAGATGGGGTCTCCTCACTATGATGCCCAGGCTGGTCTTCAGCTCCTGGCCGCAAGCGATCTTCCTGCTTCCACCTCCAGCAAAAGTGCTGAGATTATAGATGTGAGCCACCACACCCAGCCCCATCTCTATTTTTATTTAAAATATATGTGTGTATATATAAATGCAAAAATAGATGTGACTTGCCACTGGTCTGTGGGACTCAAAACAATCCACCTGTTTGGAAATGTCTGTTGCTGCTATTGTAGAAGTTTCTTTACGATATAATTTGTTTGTTGCTTGGTGCTGGGCTACAAGAATGTAAGCATTTTTTTTTGAGATGGAGTTTCACTCTTGTTGCCCAGGCTGGAGTCCAATGGCATGATCTCAGCTCACTGCAACCTCTGCCTCCTGGGTTCAAGCGATTCTCCTGCTTCAGTTTCACAAGTAGCTGGGATTACAGGCATGTGCCACCATACCCAGCTAATTTTTATTAGCAAAGACAGGGTTTCACCATGTTGGCCAGGCTGGTCTTGAACTCCTGACCTCAGATGATCCGCCTGCCTCAACCTCCCAAAGTGCTGGGATTACAGGCATGAGCCACTGCGTCCGGCCAAGAATGCAAGCATTTCAAAGGAAGAGTCTCTTGGAGAAACTTAGGAATTTTATAGGCATTTTTAAGGATTCAACTGGGTCATGTTCTGAATTCCACATTAAAGCAAATGAAAATATTCACATGTTGTGGACATGGCCAACTGCCATTCGGCACAGGCTTCCAACCATGTCATTTTAGCCTAAAAGAGACTCTACAAATGTCAGTCATATGAAAATGAGAACGTTTGAGGGATTTTCTGTTGTATTTTTTCCCTTCTATATTTGAGAGAAACACAGGTACTGCAGAAGTGGTTCAGCAGACTGAATTAGAGCAATTCCATTTCAAATGTGACTTGTGTGTCCGTGTGATTTTTTTAATAATCAGTGAAGCTTCACAGTGTGATTTTGTTTTATTTTATGTATTTATTTATTTAGAGAGGGAGTCTCGCTCTGAAGCCCAGGCCGGAGTGCAGTGGCACAGTCTTGGCTCACTGCAACCTCTGTCTCCCAGGTTCAAGCGATTCTCCTGCTTCAGCCTCCTGAGTACCTGGGATTACAGGCATCCACCGCCACACCCAGCTAATTTTTATATTTTTAGTAGAGACAGGGTTTCACCATGTTGGCCAGGCTGTTCTCGAACTCCTGACCTCAAGTGATCCACCCGCCTCAGCTTCCCAAAGTGTTGGGATTACAGGCGTGAGCCACTGCAGCTGGCTGATTTTGTTTTATTTTGAGGAAATAGGGCCAGGGACAGTGGCTCACACCTTTAGTCCCAGCTACTTAGGAGGCTGAGGTGGCTTGCTTGAGCCCAAGAGGTCGAGGCTGCAGTCAGCTGTGATTGAGCCCCTGCAGTCCATCCTGGAAAACAGAATGATACCTTGTCTCATAAAAAAAAAAAAAAAAAATTCGAATCAATGAAAGAAAATGAAATCACATCTGTTCTTCGGTAAAGTTTAATAGTTTTCTGCTTAATTGTATTAATTTTATCCCTAGAAATGTATTTTTGTTGCTATTGTGAAAGGTATTGTTTCTCTGTTAGGTTTTGTTTGTTTGTTTGTTTGTTTTTGAGACAGAGTCTCACTGTGTCGCCCAGGCTGGAGTACAGTGGTGCAGTCTTGGCTCACTGCAACCTCTGCCCCCCAGGTCCAAGTGATTCTCCTGCCTCAGCCTCCTGGGTAGCTGGGATTAGAGGCACCTGCCACCATACCCACCTAATTTTTTGTATTTTTAGTAGAGACAGGGTTTCACCTTGCTGGCCAGGCTGGTCGCAAACTCTTGACCTCAAATGATCCGCCTACCTCAGCCTTGAAAACTGCCAGGATTACAGATGTGAGCCACCACACCTGGCTGTCTGTTAAGTTTTTCTAATTGGTTATTGCTTGTATAAGAAAGGAAAAATATTGACTTTTCTTTTTTACTATTGACTTTCATGTGTTAACTTCTTTGCCACTTTATTGAATTCTTATTAATTTAGTAATGTTTCAGTTGATGCTATTGGGTTTTATAAACATGCTGTTGTGTTGCAAAAAATTATTTTGTTTCTTTCCAAGATTTTATGTCTCTTATTTTTCTTAATGTGTGGGCTAGAGAATGTTTGGAATTAGGCTAAGTAATAACAGTGATGGTAGAAATTCTCATTTTGTCCCTAATGTTTACAGTGGGTTTCAGTTAGGATTTTTTTTTTTAGATGAAGTCTCGCTCTGTCATCCAAACTGGAGTGCAATGGCTCAATCTCAGCTCACTGCAACCTCCACATCCTGGGCTCAAGCTATTCTCCTGCCTCAGCCTCCTGAGTAGCTGGGATTACAGGCACCTGCCAGCATGCCTGGCTAATTTTTGGATTTTTAGTAGAGATGGGGTTTCACCAAGTTGGCCAGGCTGGTCTCGAACTCCTGGCCTCAAGTGATCCACCTGCCTCGGCCTCCCAAAGTGCTGAGATTACAGGGGTGAGCCACCGTGCCTGGCCAGTTAGATAATTTTTTTTATCCCACTAAGTACATTAATCTACCCTAGTTTACTAAGTTTCAAATTCAGGATCACATATATAATTTAATCAAAATCCTCTTTGACTTTTATGAGGTGAACATAAGATTGGAGTGCAGTGACGTGATCATGGCTCACTGCAGCCTCAACCTCCTGGGCTCAAGTGATCCTCCTCCTGCCTCAGCACGCCTGGCTAATTTTTTTATTATTTGTAGAGATGGGGTTTCACTATGTTGTCCATGCTGGTCTCAAACTCCTGGTCTCAAGTGATTCTCCCACCTTGGCCTCCCAAAGTGCTGGGATCACAGGCATGAGTCACTACACCTGACCCCTTTTAACCACCATGCCCAGCTATTTTATTTTTTTATTTTTTTAATTTTTAATGGAGACAGGGTTTCACCATGTTGGCCAGGCTGGTCTGGAACACCTGACCTCAAGTGATCTACCTACCTCAGCCTCCCAAAGCGCTGGGATTACAGGTGTGAGCCACCATACCCAGCCCATGGCCAAGTTTAAAGAAAAGAGGCATAGTCAGCTGAGCGCAGTGGCTCATACCTGTAATTCCAACACTTTGGGAAGCTGAGGTGGGAGGATCACCTGAGGCCAGGAGTCCAAGACCAGCCTAGGCAACATAGGAAGACTCTGTCTTTACGAAAAATAACAATATTAGCTGAGTGTGATGGTGCAGACCTATAGTCCCCTCTACTGGAGAAGCTGAAGTGGGAGGATGACTTGAGCTCAGGAGTTCAAGGCTGCAGTGAGCTATGATTGCACCATTGCACTCCACCCTGGACGACAGAGCGAGACCCTCATCTCTTAAAAAAAGAAAAAGAAGGCACAGCAAAGTTGTATATTTAGTACAAATCCATTTTTGTAAGACAAGTGTTTGTCTGTGTGTCTGTACGTTGAACACACAAAAACAGGAGGAGCTTTAATGTAGAAGTTGTGTAAAGAGGTTACACAGTCACTTGGGAAGACATAATTGAGCGATCTATGTGATCACCTTTCTTGCAGCTTGGGGGAGCCAGCACTTGTAGGGGCAGCGGTGGGGTGACGGGGCAAAACCCCATCTCTATTAAAAAATACAAAAATGAAATTAGCTTGTGGCACGTGCCTGTGGTCCCAGCTACTTGGGAGGCTGAAGTAGGAGGATTACTTGAGCCCAGAGAAGTCGAGGCTGCGGTGAGCCGCGATCGCACCACTGCACTCCAGCCTAGGCAACCACGTCAGACCCTGCCTCAAAGATAAAATAAAATAAAATGCCTTTATAACATGGTTAAGGGTCTTCTTGGCAAAGGAAACCTGTATCAGGGGACTGTTATGACAGTCCTACCCTCAGGGTCTGTGCTGGGAAACTTGTCCAGGTCCTGAGGGAGGCCCAGAATTGCAAGTCTGAGCCCCTGAATATCTGCAGTGTTTGCAGTATGGTTGAATGTATAGTCCATAGACTAGTCTCAAACTCCTGGGCTCAAGTGATTTACCTGCCCTGTCTTCACAAAGTGCTGGGATTACAGATGTGAGCCATGATGTGCAGACACAAAGACATTTTTAAGCAAAAAATTAACTTCAACTCTCACTTTTACTGAAGCAACACAGCATTTAAAAACATAGGCATGGGGTGCAGTGCTCACACCTGTAATCCCAGCACTTTGGGAGGCTGAGGCAGATGGATTGCTTGAGCCCAGGAGTTTGAGACCAGCCTGGGCAATGTGGTGAAACTCCATCTCCACTAAAAATACAAAAATTAGCTGGGCATGGTGGCACATGCCTGTAATCCCAGCTACTTGGGAGGCTGAGGCATGAGAATCACTTGAGCCTGGGAGGTGGAGGTTGCAGTGACCCGAGATTGCAACATTGCATTCTAGCCTGGGCAACAGGAGTGAAACCCTGTTTAAAAAAAAAAAAAAATCTATGGCCGGACACGGTGGCTGACATCTGTAATCCCAGCACTTTGGGAGGGTGAGGTGGGTGGATCACCTGAGGTCAGAAGTACAACAATTAGCCAGACGTTGTGGTGGGAGCCTGTAACCCCAGCTCCTTGAGAGGCTGAGGAAGGAGAATTGCGTGAACCTGGGAGGCAGAGGTTGCAGTGAGCCGAGATTGTGCCACTGCACTCCAGCCTGGGCTACAGAGCAAGACTCCATATAAAAAAAACTACATAAATTAAGAAAATAAATTCCCCCACTTTGAAAATCACTGTAAGTTTTTCTTTATTCTGCCTTTTTAGAAACAGGTTCACAATTGACATATTACTGTTATGCACATACATGGTTTTCAATCACATTTTATAGTATCTAACCTCACTTTTCTTTAAGGATTTTATCCTGGAACATTACAGTGAAGATGGCTATTTATATGAAGATGAAATCACAGATCTTATGGATCTGAGACAAGTAAGTTTTTGTGTGCAGCAGAGAGGGGAGGGTAGCTTTTCCAAGTTTTCAGGGAACCCCATTATTGCACGCTTGTGGTCTTAACAGAATCATGGGCAGATTGAGGTGATGGCTGGGGGGTGCTGGAATCATCCATTCCATTTGCTGCATAAGAAAACTGTAGAAGGAGGCCGGGTGCGGTGGTTCACGCCTATGTAATCCCAGCACTTTGGGAGGCGGAGGCGGGAGAATCACCTGAGATCAGGCGTTCCAGACCATCCTGGCCAACATGGTGAAACCCCGTCTCTACTAAAAATTCAAAAATTAGCTGGGCGTGGTGGTGCATGCTGGTAATTCCAGCACTTTGGGAGGCTGAAGCGGGTGGATCACCTGAGATCAGAAGTTTCAGACCAGACTGGCTAACACCGCAAAACCCCGTTTCTACTAAAAATACAAAAACAAGCCAGGCATGGTGCTACACGCCTGTAATCCCAGCTACTAGGGAGGCTGAGGCAGGAGAATCACTTGAACCTGGTAGGTGGAAGTTACAGTGAGCCAAGATCGCACCACTGCACTCCAGCTTGGGTGACAGAGTGAGACTCCGTCTAAAAAAAAAAAAAAAAAGGAAAACCATAGAAGGGGAGAGACCTGCCTCCTGGCAGGGCTGGGACTGGATTCCAGGATTTCTGACTTCCTCCCAGGTTCTTTCCACCCCTCCTAGAGTTGATGATGCCAGCAGTGAGGTCGTCATACTGCAGAAATAGTTACAGGCATCTGCTGGTATGTGCAGGGCACCTTCCGGGAAGGGCTGTCAGCTGTGTCCTCCTCTGCTCATGCCCTCTGGGGTTCTTTTCCTCGCAGGCTTGTCGGACGCCCAGCCGGGATGAGGCCAGGGTGGAACTGCTGATGACATACTTCATCCAGCTGGGCTTTGTTGAGAATCGATTATTCCCACCCACATGGCAGATGGGATTCCTGTTCACCTGGTAGGTGCTGGAGGTCTGCGCTGGCGCTTCACGTGTTATGGCAGCCACAGTTTTGGAGCCTCAGCATCACAGACGCCCCTCTGTGGGCACCTCAGCCCCTTTTCCTATCTTGCATTTTTCCGGGGTGCACCCCTGTGCACCTCAGCCCCCTTTCCTATCTTGCATTTATCCAGGGAAGTCTAGAAAGGTGTCAATACATTGGTATTTATTTATGAAGGTGATCCGAGGGAGATGGCCCCAACAGACTGTGGCCTCTTGCTTCTCAGAACAAGTGAGCCAAGGAGAGGAGACATTTTTCTTGCTTGTTGTATCACTGGGGAAGCACAGGGCTCTGAAGTGGAATTAGCCAGAAGCAAGATTCTTGTCTCAGATTGGACTGGGGCATGCGTGTGTATGTGTGAGTGAGTGAGAGAGAGAGAGAGAGAGAGAGAGAGAGAGAAAATCAGGTCTTGTCCAGTGAGACAAAAGCACCAAACAGAAATAGATCAGGTTTCTTTTGAAACGGGGTCTCACTGTGTTGCCCAGGCTAGTCTTGAATTCCTGGGCTCAGGTGATATTTCTGCCTCAGCCTCCTGAGTAGCTGGGACTATAGGCATGAGCTACACACTCAGCTTAGATCAGATTTAAAAAATGGAAGTAGAGGATTTGATTCTTCTCCACAATTGGTATTTTCAGACAAGATCAGGCATGTCAGGGTGGTATGGCCGTAGACCCAGTTGGTGTTTTCAAAGATTAGTATACTTTAAATACTTGGGGGGCTGGGTACAGTGGCTTTCATGCCTATATTGCCAACACTTTGGGAGGCTGAGGCAAGCAGATCACTTGAGCCCAGGAGTTTGAGACCAGCCTGGGCAACGTGGCAAAAACCCATATCTACAAACAATACAAAAATTTGCTGGGTACGATGGTATGCACCTGTAGTCCCAGGTACTCATGAGGCTGAGGCAGGAGAATCACTTGAGTCCGGGAGGCAGAGGTTGCAGTGAGCCGAGATCACACCACCGCACTGCAGCCTGGGTGATAGGAGTGAAATCCTGTTTCAAAAAAGAAAAAAAAAAGGCTGAGTGCGGTGGTTCACACCTGTAATCCCAGCACTTTGGGAGGCCGAGGCAGGTGGATCATGAGGTCAGGAGTTCGAGACCAGCCTGTCCAATATGGTGAAACCCTGCTTCTACTAAAAAATACAAAAATTAGCTGGACATGGTTGTACATGCCTGTAGTCCCAGCTACTTGGGAAGCTGAGGCAGGAGAATTGCTTGAACCTGGGAGGCAGAGGTTGCAGTGAGCCAAGATTGCACCACTGAGCTCCAGCCTGGGCGACAGAGTGAGAGTCTGTATCAAAAAACAAAAAACAAAAAACAAAAAACACCAAAAACCTAAAAAAAAAGTACTTTGGAGATGCTGCACCCCTTCTCTGAGTGTCGTTAGGAGTGTCAGTGAAAGGAGAATACATCCTAGAAGGTGGGGGCGTATCAGAATTGAATGTTTCTGTAGCCAATGGTTGGCTACTGATGCCTTCTTCATGGAAAGCAAAGGAAAGGGGGATGACTTTTCCTAACAATGCACCAGGCTGTCTGCATGGTGAAAGGTGGTTTCTCCTTAGTCATGAATTAGGGAGAAGCTGTCTGCACACCCCTTGGTTCATGAGTAAACTTTAAAACAAGTCCTAGGGCCAGGTGCGGTGGCTCACACCTGTAATCCTAGCACTTTGGGAGGCCGAGGTGGGTGGATCACCTGAGGTTGGGAGTTCGAGACCAGCCTGACCAACATGTCTCTACTAAAAATACAAAAATTAGCTGGGTGTGGTGGCGGGCACCTGTAATCCCAGCTACTCAGGAGGCTGAGGCAGGACCATTGCTTGAACCCCGGAAGCAGAAGCTGCAGTGAGCCGAGATGGCGCCACTGCACTCCAGCCTGGGTGAAAGAGCAAAACTTTGTCTCAAAAAATAAAAATAAATAAATAAATAAAACAAGTCCTAGGCTGGGTGTGGTGGTTCACATCTGGAATCCCAGCATGTTGGGAGGCCAAGGTGGGTGGATCACTTGAGCCCAGGAGTTTGAGACCAGTCTAGGCAACACAGTGAGACCCCATCTCTACAAAACAATTAGAGAAAATGTGCCAGGCATGGGGGGCACATGCCTGTAGTCCCATCTACTTGGGAGGCTCAGATGAGAGGATCACTTAAGCCCAGGAGGTTGAGGCTGCAGTGAGTCATGATCATGCCACTGCACTCCAGCCTAGGCAACAGAGTGAGACTTGGTCTGAAAAAATAAAAAAGTAAAACAAATCCTGAGGTTTTAGATTTCAGAAAGAATTATGAGGGGTTAGTAATTGCCATATTTCATTTAGGAGAAGCCATACACACACACACACACACACACACACACTTTTTTTTTTTTTGAGACGGAGTCTCACTCTGTCACCCAGGCTGGATTGTGGTGGTGTGATCTCAGCTCACTTCAACCTCTGCCTCCCAGTATCAAACCATCTTCCCACCTTAGCCTCCCAAGTAGCTGGGCTTAAAGGCACATGCCACCACCATGTATTTTTGATAGAGAGGGGTTTCACTATGTTGCCCAGGCTGGTCTCAAACTCCTGAGCTCAAGCCAGCCACCTGCCTTGGCCTCTAAAATGCTGGGATTACAGGTGTAAGCCACTGCACCCGGCCTTTTTTTTTTTTTTTTTTTTTTGAGACAGATTCTCGCTCTGTTGCCCAGGCTGGAGGGCAGTGGCGTGATCTCGGCTCACTGCAACCTCCGCCTCCTGGGTTCAAGTGATTCTTCTGCCTCAGCTTTCTGAGTAGCTGGGATTACAGGTGTGCCCCACCACGCCTGGCTAATTTTTGTATTTTTAGTAGAGATGGGGTTTCACCACGTTGGCCAGGCTGGTCTCAGTCCCTGGCCTTGTGATCTGCCTGCCTTGGGCTCCCAAAGTGCTGGGATTACAGGTGTAAGCCATCGCACCCAGCGCATTTTTTTTTTTTTAATAATTGAGGAATTTACCTGACACATCATTATCACCCAGAGTCCATAGTTCCCATTAGGGTTCATTCTTGCACTTGTGTATTCTGCGGCTTTTGACCAACATAGAGTGACAGTGATCCATCTTTGCAGTGTCGTACAGAAGAGTTTCCCTGCTGGAAAAATCCTCCGTGTGCTCTGCCTGTTCCTCCCTCCCTCCCCCTAAGTCCTGGCAACCCCTGATCTTTCTTCTGTCTCCAGGGTTTTTGGCTTTTCAGAATGTTGGACTCACACAGCGTGCTATACGGTAGGTAGCAATGTTCAGGTTGGCTCTTGGTAATGTTTCTTCTGCATCTTTTCAAGGCTTGCTTGAAAAGGCTCCATTTTTAGTACTGAGTAATAGTCCATTGTCTGGATGTCCCATGCTGTGTTTATAAAGTTACCCCATCAGATATTTTTGTGTGTGGCTGTGGTGGTCAGTGTGATTAGTCCTGTCATCTTGCTTGGAAACAAAAGCCTCAGTGCATGTGCATTCTTGAATTTTATTGAAGAAATGAGTTTGTTGTTGTTGTTATTGTTGCCCAGGCTGGAGCACAGTGGCACAATCTTGGCTCACTGTAACCTCCGCCTCTCGGGTTCCAGCAGTTCTCCCGCCTCAGCCTCCTGAGTAGCTGGGATTACAGGTGCCCGCTACCATGCCTGGCTAATTTTTGTATTTTTAGTGGAGACTGGGTTTCACCATGTTGGCCAGGCTGGTCTCGAACTCCTGACCTCAGGTGATCCACCCACCTTGGCCTCCCAAAGTGCTGGGATTACAGGTGTGAGCCACTGCACCCAGCCAACCCAGGAGTTTAACAGCAGTTTGGGTAACATAGTGAGACCCCATCTCTACAAAAATTAAAAAAAAAAAATTAGGCAGGTATGGTGGCATGCACCTGTAATCCCAGCTTTCTCATGAGGCTGAGGTGGGAGGATCAATTGAGCCCTAAAGTTGGAGGCTGCAGTAAGCTATGATCACACCACTGCACTCCAGCCTGGGCAACAGAGTGAGATCCTGACTCTTAAAAAAATAATAATAGAGCCAGGCACAGTGGCTCACGCCTGTAATCCCAGCACTTTGGGAGGCTGAGGTGGGCGGATCACGAGGTCAGGAGATCGAGACCATCCTGGCTAAAACGGTGAAACCCTGTCTCTACTAAAAATACAAAAAAATTAGCTGGGCGTGGTGGCGGGTGCCTGTAGTCCCAGCTACTTGGGAAGCTGAGGCAGGAGAATGGCATGAACCTGGGAGGCAGAGCTTGCAGTGAGCTGAGATCGCTCCACTGGACTCCAGCCTGGGTGACAGAGTGAGACTGTATCTCAAAAATAAATAAATAAAATAATAATAATAATAATAATAATAATAATTTTTCCACTTGCATCCAAAAGTAGCATTAACTAGCCAAGTAATCTGTATTCCCTAAATGCATTTCTTTCACATAGGTATGACTCCCTCACTGGGGTTCTGGTCAGCCAGCAGAACCTGCTGCTGGAGAAGGCCAGTGTCCTGTTCAACACTGGGGTCCTCTACACCCAGATTGGGACCCAGCGCTATCGGCACACGCAGGCTGGGCTGCAGAGTGCCATAGATGCCTTTCAGAGAGCTGCAGGTATGTCTCCTCCAGGGCTAACTGGACAGAGCCTTGGCCCCGCCTGGAGGCACCAGGTGACCCCCCCACTGAAGAGGGTCTACAGGTCGTCCCCTGCAAGGGCCAGAGCAATCTTCAGCTCTGGTGTAACTTCCCATTAAGAAACTTGCTCCAGCCGGGCGCAGTGGCTCATGCCTGTAATCCCAGCACTTTGGGAGGCCGAGGCAGGTGGATCACGAAGGTCAGGAGATCGAGACCATCCTGGCTAACATGGTGAAACCCCATCTCTACTAAAAATACATAAAATTAGCTGGGCCTGGTGGCAGGCACCTGTATTCCCAGCTACTTGGGAGGCTGAGGCAGGAGAATGGCATGAACCCGGGAGGCGGAGCTTGCAGTGAGCGGATATTGCGCCACTGCACTCCAGCCTGGGTGACAGAGTCAGACTCCGTCTCAAAAAAAAAAAAGAAACTTGCTCGGTGGTTCAGACCTCAGTCTGGGATGGCTTGATGTACATGGTGAATCCTGTGGCTGATGATTGATCTTTTCCAGACAAGTGGCCCTGGGATGGCAGTGCATAACTGTTTCTTTCAACACTGTCATGAAGAGCAGAATAACTTTTCCCAAATAGTGAAACCGTAGGCTTCTTTTTCTTGTATTAGGTGTACCCTATCTGTGCGTATTACTCTCCGTGCCTTTATTTATTTATTTATTTATTTATGAGATGGATTTTCGCCCTTGTCGCCCAGGCTGGAGTGCAGTGGCGCAATGTTGGCTCACTGCTTGAAACCTCCCGGTTTCAGGTGATTCTCCTGCCTCAGCCTCCTGAGTAGCTGGGATTACAGGCACCCGCCGCCACGCCCGGCTAATTTTTGTATTTTTAGTAGAGATGGGGTCTCACCATCCTGGCCAGGCTGGTCTCGAATTCCTGACCTCAGGTGTTCTGCCTGCCTCAGCCTCCCAAAATGCTGGGATTACAGGCACCCGCCACCACGCCCGGCTAATTTTTGTATTTTTAGTAGAGATGGGGTCTCACCATCCTGGCCAGGCTGGTCTCGAATTCCTGACCTCAGGTGTTCCGCCTGCCTCAGCCTCCCAAAATGCTGGGATTACAGGGTGAGCCACCACACCCTGCCCCTCCATGCCTTTATGTCACCTGCATTCTGCCAGCTTCTCCAGCATGAGGTGGGTGTTCTCAACCCTTTGTCAAGTGATGCATTCAAAGGATGTCTCATAGCTCAGTTCCCTTCTTCTGGGAACTGTCTTTTGTTGTTTTATTTTATTTTATTTATTTGTTTATTTTGAGATAGAGTCTTGCTCTTGTCACCCAGCCTGGAGTGCAGTGGCACAATCTCTGCTCACTACGACCTCTGCCTGCTGGGTTCAAGCAACTCTTCTGCCTCAGCCTCCCAAGTAGCTGGGATTACAGGCGCCTGCCACCATGCCCGGCTAATTTTTGTATTTTTAGTAGAGATGAGGTTTTGCCCTGTTGGCCAGGCTGGTCTCAAACTCCTGACCTCAGGTAATCCTAGTATGAGAACAAGGTGCGGGGTCGAGGAGAAAAGCAGCCTAGTGCTTACACCTGTAGAGGACCGGGGTCACCAGACCCAGTGCTGTGGGTGAGCCTGGCATGGCTCACCCTTGCCTGCGGGTTCTGCCTTGCTCCCCCATAGCAGGGCCTGTGTCTGGGTCAGACTCCGCATGGGGATGGATGCAAGAGCAGGGCACAGTGTAGACCACAGTGTGTTCTCCACACTAGCTCTATAGTGTGTTGCCTTCTAGGTTGATCATCGACATTCTGCTTTGGGGTGTGATCCCCTTCCACCCGTGTGGATCATTGTTTGATATCACTTTGCCCTGCAAGCTTGTGAAGAACCAGAGCTTTGCCACTTCAACTCATTGTGAAATTTGTGATGTTACAATGATTGGTCCTAACAGCCTGGGCCACACAGGAAGACCCTGTCTCTACAGAATATTTAAAATTAGCCAAGCGTGGTGGTGTACACCCATAGTTCCAGCTACTCCAGAGGCTAAGACGGGAGGATCAATTAAGCCCAGGAGTTTGAGGCTGCAGTGAGCTAGGATTGCCAAAAAGAATTTTTTTTAATTAAAGAAATAGGCCAGGCATGGTGGCTCATGCCTGTAATCCCAGCACTTTAGGAGGCTGAGGTGGGTGGATTGCTGGAGCTCAGGAATTTGAGATCAGCCTGGGCAACAAGGCAAAATTCCATCTCTACAAAAAGTACAAAAATTAGCTGGGCCTGGTGGTGCATGCCTGTAGTCTCAGCTACTTGGGAGGCTGAGATGGAAGGATCACCCAAGGTTGTGGTAAGCCAAGATCGTGCCATTGCACTCCAGCCTGGGCGACAGAGCAAGAACCTGTCTCAAAAAATAATTAATTAATTAAAAAAATGAAAGATTGTTCTCTTAGGATGAAGTGATATGCTAAGATTCCAAGTATGAGTTGATTTCTTTTGTTGTAAATCTTTTTTCTGGACTCATCTTTCTGGGGAATCTTAGGCAGGCACTCTGTGTCCTGTCTCTGAGATTATAGCAATGGAGACAAATTATAGATGAAATGAAGCAAGTGGGAGAACAGTGGGGAGTGTGAGGGAACCCCCACGGAGCTCACAGCTCAAAACAGCAGGTGCCATCCCTCCGCAGGGCGGGGATTTTTTTTTTTTTTTTTTTTTTTTGCTCAGCAACAAAACCAGAGGACCCAGTTGGCTGGGATTCATATGAGAGACTCTATTTCAGTTCCAGATTGATTGTCAGTTAGCGCTTTGGACAGTTAATTTTCTAAACTATAAAGAAGTCAGTGGAAGGCTGCAGCATGAAAATTTCCATTGGAGCAGACGGATTGAGTTTTTTTTTTTTTTTTTTTTTTTTGAGACGGAATCTCACTCTATCACCCAGGTTGGAGTGCAGTGGTGAGATCTCGGCTCATTGCAGCCTCCGCTTCCCGGGTTCAAGTGATTCTCCTACCTCAGCCTCCTGAGTAGCTGGGATTATAGGTGTGTACCATCATGCCTGGCTAATTTTTATAATTTTAGTAGAGGCAGGGTTTTGTCATGTTGGCCAGGCTGGTCTCGAACCTGACCTCAGGTGAACCACCCGCCTTGGCCTCCCAAAGTGCTGGGATTAGAGGCATGAGCCACCGTGCCTGGCCAGAACAGATCTTTCTTGAGGTCCAGGGGAAAAGCCCTGGACTGCTGAATGACTCAGATCTTATGTGTGAGCCTGGCCCCCTGTGAGCCCCTCAGTCCTTGTGCCTGCTCTCTGCTTGCATCTCCATACCTGTCATGATGGAATTTTGTCCCAGGTGACACAGGAGTTGTGGGGAGCAGGCTGGTTTCTCTACTCAATAGAGATGTAAGTGTTTTGGAAGATAATCCAATTTTTAAAAATTGGGTTAAAAGGCTAGGTGGGGTGGCTCACACCTGTTACCCCAGCACTTTGGGTGGCCGAGGCAGGCAGATCACCTGAGGTCAGGAGTTCAAGACCAGTCTGGCCAACATGGTGAAACCCCATCTGTGGTAAAAATACAAAAATTAGCTGGGTGTGGTGGTGAGCACCTGTAATCCCTGCTACTTGGGGGGCTGAGGCAGGGGGATCGCTTGAACCTGGGAGGCAGAGGTTTCAGTGAGCTGAAATCATGCCACTGCACTCCAGCCTGGGCATTTATTTATAAATAAATAAATAAATAGTGTTAAAATATACATATATAACCTAAAATGTACTATTTTAACCAGTTTTTTTATTACAGTAAAATAATACAACATAAAATTACCATTTTAATGATTATCTTAAATTTTTAAAATTTTAAAATTATCCTGCCAACCAGAAGCACATTTTAACCATTTTGAAGTGTGTAGTTCAATGGCATTAAGTGCATTTGTACATTCATAGTGTTGTGCAGCCATTACCACTAAACATCTCCAGAAGTTAAAAATATTTTTTGTTGGTTAGGCAAGGTGGCTCACACCTGTAATCTCAGCAGTTTGGGAGGCTGAGTCAGGAGGATCACTTGAATCCAAGAATTGGAGACCAGTCTGGGCAACATAGGCACACCCCATCTGTACAAAAAATTTTAAAATTAGCTGGGTGTGGGGTAGTGCATGTCTGTAGTCCCAGCTCTTCAGGAGACTGAGGTGGGAGGACTGCTTGAGCCCAGGAGTTTAAGGCTGCAGTGCGTCATGATCATGCCACTGCACTCCAGTCTGGGCAACAGAGTGTGATCTTGTCTCAAAAATAAATAAAATAAATACATTTTTAAAAAGTATATATTTTTTAAGAGACAGGGGTCTCAGTATGTTGCCCAGGCTGGTCTTGAACTCTTAATATCAAGCAACCCTCCCACCTCAGCCTCCCTCGTAGCTGGGATTACAGGCAGCAGCCCCTGTGCCCAGCTATCTCCAGAACTTTTTCATCTGGATGATGGATAAGCAAAGCTCTGTACTCAGTTAAGCAATAACTTCCCATTGCCCCCTTTCCCAGCCCCAGCTAACCTCTGTTCTCCTTTCTGTTTCTGTGAATTTGACTATTCTGGGTACCTTATCTAAATGGAATCCTACAATATTGGTCCTTTTGTGACTGGCTTGTTTCACTTAGCATAATGCCCTTATTTACACTGTACCATGTGTCAGAATTTCATTCCTTTTTAAGGCTGAAAAATACTCCATTGTATGGATAGGCCACATTGTGTTTAATCATTCATCTGCTCACGGATGTCTGGGTGGTTTCCACTTTTCAGCTCTTGTAAATAATGTTGCTATTAACACGGGTGTTCAAGTATCACTTAAGCCCCCACTTTCAATTGTTTGGGGATATATATCATAGGAGTGGAATTGCTGGACCATATAATTGAGAATCAAACTTTTTAATATGTTGTAGGACACCGGTTCTTTTTTTTTCCTCCTATCTTTCCTTTTTTTTTTTTTTTTTTTTTTGAGACGGAGTCTTGCTCTGTCACCCAGGCTGGAGTGCAGTGGTGAGATCTCAGCTCACTGCAACCTCTGCCTCCTGGGCTCAAGCAATCCTCCTGCCTCAGCCTCCAGAGGAGCTGAGACTATAGGTGCACGCCATCACACCCAGCTAATTTTTGTATTTTTTGTAGAGACAGGGTTTCACCATGTTGCCCACGCTGGTCTTAAATTCCTGACGCAAGTGATCTGCTCACTTTGACCTCCCAATGTGTTGGGATTATGGGCATGAGCCACCACACCTGGCCTCCTATCTTTCTCTACAGCAACGTGATGAAGTAAATATAAACCCGAACTAATGGGCAAAACATTTTCCACTTTTAGGGGTTTTAAACTACCTGAAAGAGACATTTACCCATAATCCAAGTTACGATATGATCCCTGCCATGCTCAGCGTGCTTGTCAAAATGATGCTTGCACAAACCCAAGAAAGCGTGTTTGAGAAAATCAGCCTTCCTGGGATCTGGAATGAATTCTTCATGCTGGTGAAGGTGGCTCAGGAGGCTGCCAAGGTAAGACTCCCTGGTTCCTGTGACTTTGGGGGGTGGGCAGGAAATGCTGGCACAGGAGCACTGGAAGTAATGGGGCCTTCCCACAGGAGCTTGCCTGTGACCTGGGCATTGTGCCAGCTCCGGCCAGTACTGCTGGCTTGAGTTTTCTTGGCAAGTGTTGGTGTTTCAGATACGGATCACTGATTCCATCTGCAGCTTAACCTAAAAACCAGCATAATGACAGCAGCCTGATCCCCCTGTTAACTGTGACAATGACAGAACGGGGGGTTGCTTGGAGTTGCTCCCAGATTCTGGAGCAGCCCCTGGCAGGGGCTGTTGCATGAGAAGAAGAAAGGGCTCTTTCTCTGCAAATGGGTTCATGAGGGCCCTTGTGCCGGGCTGCCCCTTCCCAATGCCCCTTCTATTTCAGGTGGGAGAGGTCTGCCGACAGCTGCACGCAGCCATGAGCCAGGTGCTGGTGAAAGAGAACATCCCCTACTCCTGGGCCAGCTTGGCCTGCGTGAAGGCCCACCACTATGCGGCCCTGGCCCACTACTTCACTGCCATCCTCCTCATCGACCACCAGGGTAAGGCCTGTGGGGTTCGGGGGTTTGGCCAGGGCTGTGGTCCAGCTGCCCCAGGGGCGATTCTGAGCTGAGTGAGAGCTAACTGCCTTCCCTGGAGATGCTCACAGGCTGAAGGCAGAGGATGAGAATGACCCATGACTGAGGCAGCTGCTGCACAGGCCATGGTGGGGTTAGGGGTTATAAGCTTCTTTAGAGGGAGGAAGAGGAGGCACCTTTAATTCTGCCTGTGTGCAAGAGGATGAATTTTCACCTGGAATCTAGAATCTAAGGGAATGCCAAAAATGCTGGCATCAAGATAAGTAACATTTTAAGGTAATATTTTAAAAGAATCAAAATTAATGCAGGCCGGGTACAGTGGCTCAAGCCTATAATCCCAGCACTTTGGAAGGCCAAAGCAGGCAGATCATTTGAGGTCAGGAGTTTGAGACCAGCCTGGCCAACATGGTGAAACCCTGTCTCTACTGAAAATACAAAAATTAGCCGGGCATGGCGCGTGCCTCTAATCCCAGCTACTCCGGTGACTGAGGCAGGAGAATGGCTTGGGCCGGGGAGGTGGAGGTTGCAGTGAGCCGAGATTGTGCCACCACACTCCAGCCTGGGCAGCAGAGCAAGACTCCATCTCAAAAAAACTAATAATAATAAAATAAAAATTAATGCAAAAAAAATCTGTGATGATCGGAATTTAATTTAATTTTATTTTATTTTATTTTATTTATTTTTAGAGATGGGGCTGGAGTGCAGTGGTATGATCATGGCTCACTGCCTTCTTGAACTCCTGGGCTCAAGCAATCCTCCCACTTCAGCCTCCTGAATACCTGGGACTACAGGCACATGCCACTACACCAGTTAATTGAAAAAAATTTTTTTCGTAGAGATGGAGTCTCACTATGTTGCCTAGGTTGGTTTCAAATTCCTGGCCTCAAGCAATTGTCCTGCCTTGGCCTCCCCAAAGTGTTGGGATTACAGGCATGAGCCATGGTGCCTGGCCAGGGATTTTTGATCTAATAAGTACTAATCCAGGCAGCCTCCCGAGGAATTAAAAAGACAGCCTCTGGAGCCAGACTTCCTGGGTTCATATCTCAGCTCTGCCATGAATGAGCTGTATTACCTTGGGCAAGTTACTTAGCTGTCCTCTGCCTCGATTTTCTCATCTGTAAAATGGGTATATGGAGAGAATCTACCTCACAGGCTGTCATGAAAATGAAGGGCCTGTATGCAAAGCTCAATAATGCTTTATATGCTGTAGGTTCTCTGAAAGTGTGAGCCACCACTCCTAGTACTATATAGTCTATTAGGCGAGACAAGATGTTGAAACAAATAGAAATACCATATAGTGCCTTGGTGATTGCTGCAGAGACACAAATGCAGCAGCAGGTGGACTCCATGGTGCAGTCATTGATGGCTTCTCAGAGGCGGTGACATTTGAGTTCAACTTTTCCATCTGCACAGGAGGGAAGGGTCAGCCTAGAGGGAGTAAAGTGTCTGAGCACAGGAACAGAGGCCGAGGGTGCTGGGGAAGTGGAGAGTGGTTTTGTGAGGTTTGAGAGCAGGATATGCACCAGGGAGGGTGTGGTTGAAGCAGGAAGGGGCTCTGCTGCAGGTGTGCAGGACTGCAGAGGGGTGCAGGCCAGGCATGACAGGGTCTGGGCTGTGCTAGGAGGTTCTGTGTGGTGGGTGAGTCAGAGGAGGTAGTGTGTGGGGGCTCAGGGTCAAATTATGAACCTCACCAGGTGTGGTGGTTCACGCCTACAATCCCAGCACTTTGGGAGGCCGAGATGGGTGGATCATGAGGTCAGGAGTTTGAGACCAGCCTGGCCAAGATGCTGAAACCCCGTCTCTACTAAAAATAGAAAAATTAGCTGGGCATGGTGGCACATGCCTGTAATCCCAGCTACTCGGGAGGCTGAGGCAGGAGAATCACTTGAACCCGGGAGGTGGAGGTTGCAGTGAGCCAAGATCACACCACTGCACCCAAGCCTGGGCGACAGAGCGAAACTCCATCTCAAAAAAAAAAAAAAAATTCTGAACCTCTGAACCTCTGGAGCATGACTGGTTCCAGTGAGCAAGAGCTTCGGGGTAGCCAGGCATGGTGGCTCACACATTTGATCCCAGCACTTTGGGAGGCTAAGGCAGGAGGATCGTTTGAACCCAGGGGTTTGAGACCAGCATGGGCAATGTAGCAAGAACTTATCTTTACAAAAAAATTTAAAAATTAGCCTGGCGTGTGGTGGTGCATGTCTGTAGTCCTAACTACTCAGGAGGCTGAGGTGGGAGGATCACTTGAGCCCAGGAGTTCAAGGCTGCAGTGAAATATGATTGTGCCATTGCACTCCAGCCTGGTGACAGAGTGAGACCGTCTCAAAGAAAAAAAAAGCTTGAGGGTCAGACTGCCTGGGGTGTGTCCAGGGGCAGAAAGGAGAGCCATGATCCCAAATGCCTTGTGAAACTGCAGAAGAAAGGAAACTAGAGACATGGTAGAAAGAGAAATCTCTATGTGGGTCTGTGGCCAGGTCCATGAGAGGGGATTTAACCTGTGGTTCTCTTTGCAGTGAAGCCAGGCACGGATCTGGACCACCAGGAGAAGTGCCTGTCCCAGCTCTACGACCACATGCCAGAGGGGCTGACACCCTTGGCCACACTGAAGAATGATCAGCAGCGCCAACAGCTGGGTGCATGTCCCTCTGCACCCAGATGTGGGTCCCACTTGGTGACCAGCTGGTCCTGCTCACAGACAGCCACAGAGAGGTCCCTGAAGAGGGCCCGGGAGAGGGGGGTGTTCCAAGTCATCGTGGCCACTTTGGGTTCGGAAGTCATGAGGCACAGTCCTGAGCCTCAGAGGGCTTCCCAGGCTGTGTTCTCATGGGTTCCATAGCACCCAGGCCTCCCCCTGTGGAGCCAGGACTTTAACCATCTCCCTTGGGGTCCACAGGGTGGCCTGTATCATGCTAACAGGGAAGGAGACGTTTGTTGATTTCCTTATGCATGGCTGAATTCCCAAGAACACCTAATGACTGGTAATGAAGTGTCCTGGTTTGGTCTCTGCCATGTCTCAGTGTGAATATCTCTTCCCATGTGCAGACCTCACCTCCACCACCCTAATCTGCCCCCACGCACACATACGCAGCTTCCCCGTCTCAGTGATGGCAACTCCCACCCCTCTAGGTGCTCAGGCCAGAAACCTTGGACTCACTCTCCAGTCTTCTTTTCTTTCCTCCTCTTTCCCCTCCCCTCCCCTCTGCTCCCCTCTCCTCTCTTCCCCTCTGCTCCCCTCCCCTCCTCTCCCCTCCCCTCTCCTCTCATCCTTCCTCCTCTCCCTTCACCCTTCCCCTCTCCCCTCTCCCCTCCCCTCTCCTCTCCTTTTCTTTTTCCTTGTTGCTTTCCTTTTCTTTCCCTTTCCTTTCCTCTCTCTCTTTTATTCTTTCTTTCTTTCCTTTCTCTCTTTCTCTCCTCCCCATCTACCCTTCCTCCCTCCTTTCCTCTTTCCTTTTCTTTCATTTGCTTTCTTTGACAGCATCTTGCTGTCCCCCAGGCTGCAGTGCAGTAGTGCAATCACAGCTCAGTGCAGCCTCAAACTCCTGGCTTCAAGTGATCCTCCTGCCTCAGCCTGCTGAGTAGCTGGGACTATAGACATGCACCACCATGCCCGGCTAATATTATAAAAAGGTTTTTTTAGAGATGTGGTCCCACTATGTTGCCCGGGCTGGTTTTGAACTCCGAGCTTCAAGTGATCCTCCTGCCTCAGCCTGCTGAGTAGCTGGGACTATAGACGTGCACCACCATGCCCGGCTAATATTATAAAAAGGTTTTTTTAGAGATGCGGTCTCACTATGTTGCCCGGGCTGGTTTTGAACTCCGAGCTTCAAGTGATCCTCCTGCCTCAGCCTGCTGAGTAGCTGGGACTATAGGCGTGCACCACCATGCCCGGCTAATATTGTAGAAAGGTTTTTGTAGAGATGCGGTCTCACTATGTTGCCCGGGCTGGTTTTGAACTACTGGCCTCCAGCGATCCTCCTTCCTCTGTCTCCCAAAGTGCTGGGATTACAGGCACGAGCCACCACACCTAACCTCTTGTCTTACTTTCTCACCCTACATTTGATTAGCAAATCCCTTTGGCTGTACCTAGAAGACACACTCAAATCTGGCCACTTTAACCCTGCTGCCCTGGTGGAAGCCACATGTGTACAGTGCTTATGTAAGAAACATTTACTCACTTAAACCCCACACAACACTATGAGGTGGGTCTCATGGCATCCCCATTTTACAGCTGAGGAAACTGAGACCCAGAGCGGTCACGTGGCTTGCCCTGCTCATAGCTGGTTTTCTTGCTGCCCCTTCAGAGTCTGCTCATGCAGGCCAGATCACATCAGTCCCCTGCTCACACCCCAGTGGGCTCCCATCTCACGCAGAACAGGAGTGAGAGCCCTCATCTCGCACGCATGAGATCCGCCATGATCTGGCCTTGTTCCTTCCCTGCACTCATTCTCTCCCACCTTCAGGCACACCTTAGCTCCTCCTTGCCCTTGAACACCTGTGCGTGCCCCTGCTCCAGGGCCCTCGCACCTGCTGCTCTTTCACATCCATCAGGGCTCTTCTCAAAAAGGACCATATCACAAAGCCTTCCTTGGCTGGGTGTGGTGGCTCATGCCTGCAATTCCAGCACTTTGGGAGGCTGAGGTGGGAGGATGGCTTGAAGTCAGGAGTTTGAGACCAGTCTGGGCAACATGGAGAAACCCCGTCTCTACCAAAAATACAAAAACTTAGCCAGATGTGGTGGTGTGTGCCTGTAGTCCCAGCTACTTGGGAGGCTGAGGTGGGAGAATCGCTTGAACCTGGGAGGCAGAGGTTGCAGTGGGCCGAGATCGTGCCACTGCATTCCAGCCTGGGTGACAGAGTGAGACTCCGTCTCAAGAAAAAAAAAAAAAGCCTTTCTTGGTCACCCATCATAGGACAACCCCATTCCCAGTCTTCTCTTACCATCTCTGCTTACCCTGCTTTATTTTTCTCTATAACCTCATCACCACCCCATCCATTACATATTTCTTGTCTTGTTAGTTATCTGTCTTCAACCACTACATGTAAACTCCATGAATGTGGGGGCAGTTTGTTTACTCGTTGCTTTATCTCTAGTGCCCAGCACATTTGGTAAATATTTGTTGAGTGAACATCTTATGGACACAAGTGAGCTTATTACATATGCATTTAAGGGAGGCTTGGGCTGGGCGCGGTGACTCACGCCTGTCATCCCAGCACTCTGGGAGGCTAAGGCAGGCAGATTGCTTGAGGCCAGGAGTTTGAGACCAGCCTGGGCAACATAGCAATGATAATGAAATGATAATGATAATGAAAACATTATCCAAGTGTGGTGGTGCATGCCTGTGGTCCCAGCTACTCAAGAGTCAGAAGCGGGAATTTCAGTTGAGCCCAGGAGTTTGAGGCTACGGTAAGCCATGATTGCACCACTGTACTCCAGCATGCGAAACAAAGTGAGACCCTGTCTCTAAATATAAAATATAAAATGAAATAAAATAATATTTTAATAAAAGGCTTGTTGTAACCAAGTGAATTGTAGAGAAACGCCACACTTTGAGACTAATTCAGGAGTCATTTATTAGCCGGTGACCGAGAGACGGATAATGCTCGAAATTGTCTCGGGCCTGAAGAAGGGGCTAGATTTTCTTTTATACTGTGGCCTAAATAGGGGAGGGGGGTTTAACTGAAGCAATTTTACAGAAGTAGAATAGGCAAAAAGTTAAAAAAGTAATTCGTTATAGAAGCAGTTACAAAAAATAAACAGTTCCAGGTGCAGGTGCTTAAACTATCACTAAGAGATAAATGCAGGGGCTTTAGGTACCTGCCACTGAGCACATCCCCAGGAGCTGCTGGTACAGCCTGCCTCAGTATCTTATCAGCAGTTTGCATTCCTGGGTGTGCTTGGAGTCAGCTTACACTAGTTATTCCCTTAAGGGGGATAAAGGGGGCTGCAAGTGAAGAAACTAAAATGTAGTCTGTCTGTCTCTCTCTGCTAGGAGAGAGTCACTCAGGTTAAAACAAGGTAGGGTATCACGGGCTCTAGCTATCCAGGCAGATCCTTTAGAAAAGAGAACGTCCAACCTCTTGGGCTGCCCTTTGGGCCCTTATGCTCTGTTTGGTGGATCTCCAAGTCACGTGGGTGCTGGCTTCCGTCTGCAGGGAAGTCCCACCTGTGCAGAGCCATGGCTCATCACGAGGAGTCAGTGCAGGAGGCCAGCCTCTGCAAGAAGCTGCAGAGCATTGAGGTGCTACAGAAGGTGCTGTGTGCAGCACAGGAACGCTCCCGGCTCATGTACGCCCAGCACCAGGAGGATGATGACCTGCTGAACCTGATCGACGCCCCCAGTGTTGTTGGTGAGTAACCTAGACTGTGTTCCCTCTGTGGGGGTGCCTGTGCCGCGGAAAGAGTACGCCTGGCCTGTGGGGGTTGAGCAAGCCCTTGCTGTGTGCTTGGCACAGGGAGGGCTGCACAGGGCAGGGACCGAGGTGCTTATTTTGCCCTGGAGTTCTCTTTTCTTTTTGAGATGGAGTCTCGTTCTGTTGCCCAGGCTGGAGTGCAGTGGCATGATCTCGGCTCACTGCAACCTCTGCTTCCCGGGTTCAAGTGATTCTTCTGCCTCATCCTCCCGAGGAGCTGGGATTACAAGCGCCCACCACCACACCCAGCTAATTTTTGGATTTTTAGTAGAGATGGGGTTTCACCATGTTGGCCAGGCTGGTCTCGAACTCCTGACCTCAAGTGATCCACCTGCCTTGGCCTCCCAAAGTGCTGGGATTACCAGAGTAAGCCACCACACCTGACCTAGATACACTTTTTATGCTGTTTGTAGAATCAGCCTGCCCTGGGATCCTTTGTTAGAAATTGACCAGCCTTATGTTAAGGGTAGTCCGAGCCTGCTGTGAAGATGCTGGTGGGGGTATGTAGCTGTCAATGGTTATGACTTGCCAAACCTCCTTTTCACTGGGAAATCCTCATACCACATTAATAATGAAAAGGTCAAGCACGGTGGCCCAAAACTCTAATCTCAGCACTTTGGGAGGCCGAGGCAGGAGGATTACTTGAGCTCAGGAGTTTGAGACCAGCCTGGGCAACATAGTGAGACCCCATCTCTACAAAAAATTTAAAAAAAATTCATCAGGTATGGTGGTGCATACCTATAGTTCCAGCTACTCGGGAGGCTGAGGCAGGAGAATCATTTGAGTCCAGGAGGTCAAGCTGCAAGAGAGCTGTGATCGCACCACTGCACTCCAGCTTGGGCGACAGAGCGACACCCTGTCTCAAAATAAAAATAATGTTGAAAACAGAAAGCTCAGTATCCCAGGACTGTGTCCAGTGAGGCATGGAACTTCCATAACAATAACGCTTGAAACATAGATGACTTCTCAATAGGTTTTTTGTTTGTTTGTTTGTTTGTATGTTTGTTTGTTTTTGAGAGGTCGTTTCACTCTTGTCACCCAGGCTGGAGTGCAGTGGTGTGATCTCAGCTCACTGCAAACTCTGCCTCCCTGGTTCAAGCCTCAGCCTCCCAAGTAGCTGGGACTACAGGCGCATGCCACTACGTCTGGCTAATTTTTTGTATTTTTAGTAGAGATGGGGTTTCATCATGTTGGCCAGGCTGGTCTTGAACTCTTGACCTCAGATGATCCTCCCACCGCGGCCTCCCAAAGTGCTGGGATTACAAGCATTAGCCACCATGCCCAGCCTCCTCATTAGGGTTTTATGAGTGCCAGAGAAGCCCACTAAGCCCCTTAAATATCAGGAAACCCCATGGGAATGTGTCTGGTTATCACTCCTTGGTCCCAGCTCAGGAATGAGTTATACCTCCTATGGCTCACATGAGGTACCCAAATGGAAGGTAGAGTTCAGCCTAGGTCGGGGTTTGAGCTGTGTTCCATCTTCTTGTACTACTTGTCTAAACCGAGGGGAAGGATGTGTGACTAAGAGAAAGTTCTGTACTGTCTCATTCCCAAGGATCACTTTCTTTTTTTTCCCCCCCCCTGGAGTCTTACTCTGTCACCGGGCTGGAGTGCAGTGGCAAGACTTCAACTCACTGCAACCTCTGCCTCCTGGGTTCAAGTGATTCTCCTGCCTCAGCCTCCCAAGTAACTCAGATTACAGTCGCCTACCACCATACCTGGCTAATTTTTGTATTTTTAATAGAGACGGGGTTTCACCATGCTGGCCAGACTGGTCTTGAACTTCTGGCCTCATTGATCCACCTGCCTCGGCCTCCCAAAGTGCTGGGATTACAGGCGAGAGCCACAACACCGGGCTATAAGGATCACTTTCAATTACAGAAACATTTATCCTCCCATTTCTAATCCTCTATTCTAGCTAAAACTGAGCAAGAGGCTGACATTATATTACCCCAGTTCTCCAAGCTGACAGTCACGGACTTCTTCTAGAAGCTGGTATGTTGAAAGCTCTCTACATAAATGACCGAAGGGGACAGCTCTTCACTTTGGCGAGTATGGTGTCTTAGTCCATGTGGGCTGCTATAACAAAATGCCTCAAACTGGGTGGCTTATGAACAGCAGAAATATATTTCTCAGTTTTGGAGGCTGGGAAGTCCAAGACCAAGGTATGGGCAGATTTGGTATCTGCTGAAGGCCCATGTTCTGGTTTATAGGTAGGGCCTTCTACCTGTGTCCTCATGGCAGAAAAGGTGATGAGCTCCCTTGGGCCTGTTTTAAAAGCATGTATCCCATTCTTGAGGGCTCAACCCCAAGACTGAATCACCTCTCAAGGGGCCCCACTTCCTAATAATTACATTGATGATTTTAATATACATTTTAAATTTTAATAAATATTAATAAAATTTTAATATTTTAATATACAAACTTTGGGAGGGTACAAACATTCAGACCATAGCATATTTTATTTTATGCACTTATTTTTATTTGTTTTTTGAGACAGAGTCTCACTCTGTTGCCCAGGCTGGAGTGCAGTGGTGCGATCTCAGCTCAGTGCAGCCTCCACCTCCCAGGTTCAAGTGATTCTCCAGCTTCAGCCTCCCGAGTAGTCGAGATTACAGGCCTTTGCCACTACGCTCAGCTAATTTTGTATTTTTAGTAGAGACAGGGTTTCACCATGTTGGCCAGGCTGATCTTGAACTCCTGGGCTCCAGTGATCCCCTCACCTCGGCCTCCCAAAGTGCTGGGATTATAGGCCTGAGCCACTGTGCCCGGCCCCACAGCATATTTTAAAAGTAGTTTTTAGGTATTGTCTATTTAAAATTTTTTAAAATATTTTTTAACTTTTTTTAGAGATGTGGTCTCACTGTGTCACCTAGGCTGGATTACAGTGGCATGATCATAGCTCACTGCAGCCTGAACCTTCTGGGCTCAAGTGATCCTCCTGCGTTAGCTACCCTAGTAGATGGGACTACAGGCACACACCACCACGTCCAACTAATTTTTATTTCTTGTAGAGATGGGGTCTTGCTATGTTGCCTAGGCTGGTCTCAAACCCTGGGTTCCAACCATCCTCCTGCCTAGGCATCCCAGAGTGCTGGGATTACAGGTATGAGCCACTATGCCTGACCTGAGATTTTTTTTCCTTTTTTTTTTTTTTTTTTAAGACAGGGTCTAACTCTGTTTTCACCCAGGCTGGAGTGCAGTGGCACAATCAGTTCACTGCAGCCTCGAACTGCTGGGCTCAAGAAGTCCTCCTGCCTCAGCAGCCTGAGTAGATGGAACCATAGGCGTGCACCACCATGCCTGGCTAATTCTTTTATGTTTTTAGTAGAGAATGGTTCCCACTATGTTGCCCAGGCTGGTCTCAAACCCCTGGCCTCAAGCAATCCTTCTGCCTTGGTCACACAAAGTGCTTAGGATTACAGGCAAGACATGTCTGGTCTTAAATTGTTTATATTAGAGATTTTATTTAAGATAATTTTGGCTGGGTGTGGTGGCTCACGCCTTTAATCCCAGCACTTTGGGAGGCTGAGGCAGGCTGATCAACTGAGGTCAGGAGTTTGAGACCAGCCTGGCCAACATGGTGAAACCCCATCTCTGCTAAAAATACAAAAATTAGCCAGGCGTGGTGGTTCGCACCTGTAATTCCAGCTACTCAGGAGAATTGCTTGAACCCAGGAGGCAGAGGCTGCAGTGAGCTGAGATTACACCACCACACTCTAGCCTGGGCGATAGAGCGAGACAATGTCTCAAAAAAAAAAAAAAAGAAAAAGATAATTAATACAATGTCTAAAAGATAATTTTATTGTAAATATATTGGGTATGTTTGAGAAGATGGCTTTCCAGGTTCTCGCATGACTGCTGTAGCATGTATGCCCCCAGATGTGTCATTTGTCCCTGAACAAGGCCAAGTGAGATCTTCAAGGACAGCAGGCAAAATTCCCTTTAGCTTTCAAGTGTCTGATCCAGCCTTCAAATCCTACACCTAATGATGCTCTCTTCCAAAGGGCCCCTTATCTGTGTTTTTGGCTAACAAGCAGTAGACGCCTCCTCGAAGCATCCGCTTCACTGCAGAAGAAGGGGACTTGGGGTTCTCCTTAAGAGGGAATGCCCCCATTGAGGTTCACTTCCTGGATCCTTACTGCTCTTCCTCGGTAAGCACATGCTTTTCTTGGTTGGCAGCAAACACAGATATCTGGGTGATTGAATTTAGGGCGGGTTCACCCATGTCAAAGGCCTGACTTGATGTGAAAGGCCTCATGGGTGCTACAGTCCCTAAAAGAAAAGGATTAATTTTTACTGTCTTTTTTTTGTTTTTAGTTTTTTTTAGACGTTGGGAGGTGGAGGCTGCAGTGAGTCGTGATTGTGCAGTGGCACGATCTCAGGGCTCAGTGCAGCTTCTGCTTCCTGGGTTCTAGTGATTCTCCTGTCTCAGCTTCCTGAGTAGCTGGGATTACAGGCACGTGCCACCACACTCAGCTAATTTTAGTTTTTGTTTTTGTTTTTTGAGACACATTTTTGCTCTGTCGCCCAGGCTGGAGTGCAGTGGCGCGATCTTGGTTCACTGCAACCTCCAACTCCTGGGTTCAAGTAATTCTTCTGCCTCCGCCTGCTGAGTAGCTGGGATTACAGGTGTGTGCCACCATGCCCAGCTAATTTTTTGTGTGTTTTTAGTAGAGACGGGGTTTCACCGTGTTAGCCAGGATGGTCTTGATCTCCTGATCTTGTGATCTGCCCACCTCGGCCTCCCAAAGTGCTGGGATTACAAGTGTGAGCTACCTGGCCTGGCCTAATTTTTGTATTTTTAGTAGAAACGGGGTTTTGCCATGTTGGCCAGGCTGGTCTCGAACTCCTGGCCTCAAATATTCTGTCTGCCTTGGCCTCCCAGAGTGCTAGGATTATAGGCGTGAGCCACTGTGCCTGGCCAATTTTGACTTTTTTTTTTTTTTTAATTGCACCCAGGCTGGAGGGCAGTGGCACGATCTCGGCTTACTGCAATGTCTGCCTCCCGGGTTCAAGCAATTCTCCTGCCTCAGCCTCTCAGGTAGCTAGGACTACAGGTGCCCACGACCACACCTGGCTGATTATTGTATTTTTAGTAGAGATGGGTTTCACCGTGTTGTTCAGGCTAGTCTTGAACTACTGACCTCAAGTGATCTACCCGTCTCAGCCACCCAACATGAATTTTTGCGTTCTTGATGTGAACTTATGCAAATACCTATTTTGTTAATGGGGACTGATTCAAGGATTTGAGTGAACAAAACGTTGACTTATTTTCAACAATACTTTTTCAGGTGGCAGGAGCCCGGGAAGGAGATTATATTGTCTCCATTCAGCTTGTGGATTGTAAGTGGCTGACGGTGAGTGAGGTTATGAAGCTGCTGAAGAGCTTTGGTGAGGACAAGATCGAGATGAAAGCCGTGAGCCTCCTGGACTCCACGTCATCCGTGGTGAGCACTGACACCTGCCTGGGCAGTCAGTAGTGGTGTGGAGTGAAATCTACATGAGTTCAGCCCCAGGGGTGTTTACTAGACCCTCTGTCTCCTGCCTGTGTAACATGGTACAAATGACTGGACTCCCAGGCTTGTAATCACTGTAATGTGCTCACCTTGGGTCAAAGAGAAAATTGGCAAACTTTTTCTTTTTAAAGACAGGGTCTTGCCCTATTGCCCAGGCTGGTTTGCAGTGGTATGATCATGGCTTACTGCAGCCTCTATCTCCTCGGTTTAAGTGATCCTCCCACTTCAGCCACACAAGCAGCTGGAATTATAGGCACCCACTACCACCCCTGGCTCATTCTTTATTTATTTATTTATTCATTTTTTATTTTATTTTTTTTTTGAGACGGAGTCTCGCACTGTCGCCCAGGCTGGAGTGCAGTTGTGCAATCTTGGCTCACTGCAAGCTCTGCCTCCCAGGTTCACGCCATTCTTCTGCCTCAGCCTCCCAAGTAGCTGGGACTACAGGTGCCTGCCAACGCGCCTGGCTAATTTTTTGTATTTTTAGTAGTGATGGGGTCTCACTGTGTTAGCCAGGATGGTCTCGATCTCCTGACCTCGTGATCCACCCACCTCGGCCTCCCAGAGTGCCGGGATTACAGGTGTGAGCCACCATGCCCAGCCCATTCTTTATTTTTTGTAGAGACAGGTTCTCGCTGTGTTGCCAAGACTGGTCTTGAACTCCTGGGCTCAAGCCATCCTCTGACCTTGGCCTCCCAAAGTGCTGGGATTACAGGTGTGAGCCACTGCACCCTGCTAGCAAACTTTTAAAAATATCCTGTGGATAAAATAATCAACTGATCTATTTTTCTGATCAAATTGTTTAATTACAAAAGTAATACATACTCATAGTGAAAAAAACAAAAAACAAAAAAAAATTCTAATGGTACAGAAGAGCTTAAGACGACCTGTGAAAGTTAAGACAATCCCTCTGTATGCCCTAGAGGCAGTGTCAGCCATGTTCTGGGAGATTTGGGAAGCATTTGAGTCTCTCAAGTTCACCTGCACAGTTACCACCTTTAATTTTCCCCACGTGAGGCCGGGCACGGTGCTCATGTTTGTAATCTGAGTACTTTTGGAGGCTGAGGTGTGTGGATTGCTTGAAGTCAGGAGTTCAAGACCAGCCTGACCAACAAGGCAAACGCTGTCTCTACTGAAAATATAAAAATTAGCTGGGCATGGTGGTGCACGCCTGTAACCCCAGCTACTCAGGAGGCTGAGGCAGGAGAATAGTTTGGGAGGTGGAGGTTGCAGTGAGTGGAGATTGCACCATTGCACTCCAGCCTGGGCAACAGAGTGAGACTCTGTCTGCAAAAAAACCCTAAAATTTTCCCCAAGTGCTAGGGTTCATGCCACACTTAATGACGTTCTCCTCTGCACTTTGCCACACTTAATGCCGTACCCTCGACCTTCCCTCTGTAACAACACTCATTTATTCATTCAACAAATATTGATTGAGGATCAATTGGGTGCCAGACACTCTCTTAGGTGTCAGAGCTCCAGTTTACATTACACAGGTAAGGTCCCTGCCCCTCCCCACGAAGCTGGCACTAAGTCAGTAAATAAATGGTCAGGATTTTGATAAGTGTTGTAAAGGAAAAAAGACCTGTAATGGGGTGGAATGACTGGAGAGGAGGCGAGGCTCTATCTAGGCAGGGCTGGAACAGACATGAGAGTGACCAGGAGGTTCGAGCCAGTTGCAGAGAGACAAGAAAGGCCTTCTGGGCAGGGGCACCTACAGGTACAGGGCCCCTGCAGCAGAATAACCTTCTCCTACCAGAGAGGCAAAAGGAAGGCCTTTTGGCAAGAGCACCAGGACAAGGAAGGGAGCCATGGGAAGTGAGGTAGGAAGGAGGCCTTGGCGGCAGTGGTGGGAGCTTGGAAGCCACTGGGCATTTTCAGAAGGGGAATGGCATGGCGTGATGTTTGTTTTAGAAGGGCGTCTGCTGCCGGAGACTGGCCATGGCAGTTGTCCAGGCTGGTGAAGTTAGTGGCTGAGGTGATGGGGTTGGCTGTAGAGTTGGAGAGACATGAGTGTCCCTGGGACATAGTTTGGAGGTAGAGCTGATGGGGGATTTGTGGATGATTTGTGTAAAGGAGACAGTGAACAGGGAGGTGAGGCCTCAGTTTTTGGCTTGATCAATCTCATGGGTAGTGGTTATTTTTCTACCTTTAATTTCATTTTTCTCTTGTTGTTTTTTTGTTTGTTTTTTGTTTTGTTTTGTTTTGTTTTTGAGACAGGGTCTCACTCTGTTGCTTGGCTGGAATGCAGTGGTGCAATCATAGCTCACTATAGCCTTGACTTCCTGGGCTGAGGCAATCCTTTTGCCTCAGCCTCCTGAGTAGCTGGAACTACAGGTGTGTACCACTATGCCTGGCTAATTTGTTTATTTACCTATTGTAATTTTTTTTTGGTAGAGATGGGGCCTTGATATATTGCCAAGGTTGGCCTCAAACTCCTGTCCTTAAGCGATCCTTCCACCTCCGCCTCCCAAAGTGTTGGGATTACAAGCATTAGCCACCATGCCCGGCCTGGTTATTTTTCATAATGATGGGTAATGGGTGTGAGGGAGGTGAAGGAGAGAGAAATCAAGAGTCGTGTTTTGAATGTTTCAGATGCTATTAGCAGTCAGACATAAGCATAAAGGAGGAGACTGGATGTGAAGTCTTCAGTTCGAGGAAGAAATCAGAGCTAGAAATAAATACTTGAGAATCATTGCACACGGATGATATTTGAGGCTGTGAGACAAAATGCAGCTCCCTGCAAGGGGGCTAGGGCTGAGGGCTAAACATTTAGAGGTCAGTTGGAAGAGAAGCAAGTGCAAAGAAAATGCAGGAGAGTTCAGAGATGTCGGAGGAAAGGAGCTTCTCAAATTAAGAGGAGAAAGCTCTGCAGGAGAGAGTGATGGGTTGCATTGAATGCAGTTGAGAGGTGGAGAATGAGGTTGGCTTAGCTGTGCCTATTGTATTTGGCAGCAGGATGAAAAGACACTTTGGTGGAGAGGTGGCAACAGAAGTCAGTTGAGAGAGGGCCAGAGAGCCAATGGATTTTGAGTCCGTGGATATGAAATGCTCAGCATAGGCAAATCCAGAGACAGAAAGTAGATGGTGCTGGGGCTGGGCAATGGGAGTAGGGAGGGACTGCTGAAGGGTCATAAGGTAGAAGGTTTCTTTTTGGGGGGATGGAAATATTCTGAAATTAGGTAGTAGTGATGGTCACCTAACTTTGTGAATATCCTAAAAAATCACTGATGTTTTGGCATACTGGCTCACACCTGTAATTCCAGCACTTTGAGAGGCTGAGGCTGTATGTTCGCTTGAGCCCAGGAGTTCGAGACCAGCCTGGGCAACATGGCGAGACCGTGTCTCTACAAAAAATAAAAAAAAATTAGCGTGGCATGGTGGCACACACCTGTAGTCCCAGCTGCTTGGGGGGCTGAGGCCGGAGGATCACTTGAGCCCAGGGAGGTTGGGGCTGCAGGGAGCTATGATTGTACCACTGCACTCCAGCCTGGGTGTCAGAGCAAGACCCTGTCTCAAAAATAATAAATAAAAGCCACAGAAGGGTATTAAAATGGTGAATTTTATGCATGTATGTGAATTATATCTCAAAAAAATTTTTTTTTTTTGAGACGGAGTCTCGCACTATCGCCCAGGCTGGAGTGCAGTGGCGTGATCTTGGCTCACTGCAACCTCTGCCTCCAGGATTCAAGTGAATCTCCTGCCTCAGCTTCCCGAGTGGCTGGGATCATAGGCGGGCACTGCTATGCCTGGCTAATTTTTGTATTTTTAGTGGAGACAGGGTTTCGCCATATTGGTCAGGCTGGTCTCAAACTCCTGACCTCGTGATCCATCCACCTCGGCCTCCCGAAGTACTGGGATTATAGGCGTGAGCCACCGCACCTGATATAGTTCAAATTTTAAAAGAAGATAAAGTCAAGGGACGCAGAGCATCTTGGGAGAAGGGATCATAAGAAATTATATTTTTAGGGACAAAATGCATGGAGTTTATGGACAAGTGATTAAGGTCCACAGCAGAAACAGAAAAGAAGTTTGTCCAAAAGGAGGTTAGAGAAAAGAGCCGAGCCACATACTGAAGGTTGGAGTAGGGACCCCGTCAGCAGAGGCCTGAGTTTATGGGGCATGCCCTGCCCCCTGTGAGAGGTGCAAAGGCTTGACTTTCAAGCCTGTGACATCTTTACACCAGGCCAAGGAAGGGGCTGCTGTAGTAGCTAAAAGCAAGGGTTCTGCACTGAGACAGTCTAGATGTGTATCCTGGCTTTCCACCACTGTTGTGTGGCCTTCAGCAAGTCAGTGAATAGCTGTGAGCCTCAGGATAAACTGAGTTTACATAAAGCCCTTCCAAGAGGGCCAAACATGAGCTGCATTTCAATTCACAATAGGCATTATAATGATGATAACCATGATCATGATGTTTATTCTTTTCACCCAGCAGGATGTCTTTAATTTTTTTAAAAATAATGTTTTTAGGCCGGGCGCAGTGGCTCACGCCTGTAATCCCAGCACTTTGGGAGGCTGAGACGGGTGGATCACGAGGTCAGGAGATCGAAACCATCCTGGCTAACACGGTGAAACCCCATCTCTACTAAAAATACAAAAAATTAGCTGGGCGTGGTGGCAAGTGCCTGTAGTCCCAGCTCCTTGGGAGGCTGAGGCAGGAGAATGGTGTGAAACCAGGAGGCGGAGCTTGCAGTGAGCTGAGATTGCGCCACTGCACTCCAGCCTGAGCGACAGAGCGAGACTCCGTCTCAAAAAAAAAATGTTTTTAGGCTGGGCACAGTGGTTCACTCCTATAATCCTAGCACTTTGGGAGGCCGAGGCAGGCGGATCACTTGAAGCCAGGAGTTCGAGACCATCCTGGCCAACATGGCAAAACCCTGTCTCTACTAAAAATACAATAATTAGCGGGATGTGGTGGTGCATACCTGCAGTCCCAGCTACGTGGGAGGCTGAGGCATAAGAATCACTTGAGCCTGGGAGGCAGAGGTTGCAGTGAGCCGAGATCGTGCCACTGTACTCCAGCTGGGGCGACAGAGTAAGACCCTGTCTAGAAAAAAAAAAGTTTGTTTTTTGTTTTGAGACAGGGTCTCGCTCTCATTGCCCTGGCACGATCTTGGCTCACTGTGGCCTTTACTCTTGGGCTTAAGTGATCCCCCCACCTCCGCTTCCTGAGTAGCTAGGACTACAGGCATGCAACACCATACTCAGCTAATTTTTCATATTTTTTTGTAGAGATGGGGCTTCACCGTGTTGCCCTAGCTGTTCTCTAACTTCTAAGCTCAAGCAATCCGCCTACCTTGCCTCCCAAAGTGCTGGGATTACAGGCAGGAGCCAGCATGCCCGGCCAAATAATTTCTTTTGTTGTTGTTTTTTGTTTTGTTTTGTTTGTTTTGAGACAGGGTCTCACTCAGTTGCCCAGGCTGGAGGGCAATAGTGCAATCATAGTTCACTACAGCCTCGAGTTCTAGGGCTCAAAAGGTCCTCCCTTCTCATCATCTAAGGTCAGGAATTCTAGACCAGCCTGGTCAACATGGTGAAACCCTGGGTGTGGAGGTGGTGGGTGCCTGTAATCCCAGCTACTTGGGCAGCCAAGGCAGGAGAATTGCTTGAACCCAGGAGGCAGAGGTTGCAGTGAGCCGAGATCATGCCACTGCACTCCAGCCTGGGCAAGAGAGGGAGACTCCATCTCAAAAAAAAAAAAAAAAAAAAAAAAAAAAAAGATCCTCCCAAGTAGCTGCGACTACAGGTGTGCACCACTATACCCAGCTAATTTTTAATTTTTTTTGTAGTGACACTCTCATTTTGTTGCCCAGCCTGGTCCCAGACTCCTGGGCTTAAGCAATCTTCCTGCCTCCGCCTCCCAAAGTGTTAGGATTACAGGAATGAGCCAGTGCACCAGGCCAAAAGTAATTTCCTTTTGTCTTTTATTTAACTAATTTTGTAGTGATGGGGTCTAACTGAGTTACTCCAGCTGATCTTGAATTCCTAGCCTCAAGAGACCCTCTTGAATCAGCCTCCCGAATAGTTGGGATTACAGGTGTGAGACACTGTACCTGGCTCTTTTTTTTTTTTTTTGGAGATAGAGTCTTGCTCTTGTTATCCAGGCTGGAGTGCAGTGGTACAATCTTGGCTCACTGCAACCTCCGCTTCCCGGGTTCAAGCAATTCTCCTGCCTCAGCCTCCTGAGTAGCTGGGATTACAGGCACCCACCATGATGCCTGGCTAATTTTTGTATTTTTAGTAGAGATGGAGTTTCACCACATTGGCCAGGCTGATCTTGAATTCCTGGCTTCCGGTGATCAGCCTGCCTTGGCCTCCCTAAAGTGCTGGGATTACAGGAGTGAGCCACCATGCCCAGCCCCTGGCTTTTTAAAAATAATTTTTAAAAAATAATTTATTTTTGTCTATTAATTTTTATGATAAGGATTTTAGATAATGACAGCCAAGCACTGTTTTTAGTGACTGAACCTTTCAAACAAAATCAAATAAAGAGAGCATTTATCCTAGCACTCTGGCTGAACCGATGACCTGCTGCCCTTGGCTACCCTCTTGACTACAGTGGGGATCCCTAGCTGAACAAATCTAAGCTTGGAATCAAGCTCTGGAATTAGGCCCTGACTGCCGTTCACAAGCTGTGTTACCTTCAGCACGTTCATACCTTCCCTGGGCCTTGGTTTTCTCATCCAGGGGATGGAAGGGTTAGGCCTACACAGTGGTTTTAAACTGTGCTCTATAAAGTCCTAAGAGTTCTAGAGGGATACCCCAGTGGATTTGAGTGAGGAGTGGGTGGCGTGGAAAGAAATAGTAAATGGAGCTGGGCACAGTGGCTCAAGCCTGTAATCCCAGCACTTTGGGAGGCTGAGGCAGGTGGATCACTTGAGGCCAGAAGTTGAAGACCAACCTGGCCAACATGGTGAAACCCTGACTCTACTAAAAATACAAAAATTATCTGGGCATGGTGGCATGTGCCTGTAATCCCAGCTACTTGGGAGGCTGAGGCAGGAAAATCACTTGAACCTGGAGGTGGAGGTTGCAGTGAGCCAAGATTGGGCCACTGCACTCCAGCCTGGTGACAGCAAGACTCTGTCTCAAAAAAAAAAAAAGGCTTTTCAAAGAAAGTAGTGGTACTCATTGCCGGAGTGAGAGAGAGTGTATGTGGGTATGATACTGGGGTGGACCTGGAGGGGAATAAGGTCAAGAAAGGCTTTACTTTTTTTTTTTTTGAGACAGAGTCTCACTTTCACCCAGGCTGGAATGCAGTGAGTGGCGCTATCTCAGCTCACTGCAAGCCTCACCTCCTGGTTCACACCATTCTCCTGCCTCAGCCTCCCGAGTAGCTGGGACTACAGGTGCCCGCCACCACGCCCGGCTATTTTTTTGTATTTTTAGTAGAGGCAGGTTTCACTGTGTTAGCCAGGATGGTCTCAATCTCGTGACCTTATGATCCGCCCGCCTTGGCTTCCCAAAGTGCTGGGATTACAGGCGTGAGCCACTGCGCCCAGCCAAGAAAGGCTTTTCAAAGAATGTGATGGTACGCATTGCAGGAGTGTGTGTGTGTGTTTGTGTGTAGAGAGAGGGGTGTGTGTGTGTGTGTAGAGAGGGGTGCGTGTAGAGAGAGGGGTGTGTGTGTGTGTAGAGAGAGGGGTGTGTGTGTGTAGAGAGAGGAGTGTGTGTGTGTGTAGAGAGAGGGGTGTGTGTGTATGTGTGTGTGTGTGTGTGTGTGTAGAGATCTGGGAGGCAAGGGTGCCTGGAGGAGAGAGGGAATGGGATCCAGGCACACAGAAGGGCTTGGTCTTGGGGGATGGATGCCATGAAGTATACGGCAGGGATTTCAGGAGGGTGCGTGAGTGGCTTCAGGAGGAGAGTGAAGATAAGAAACAAGAATACAGGAGAAAAGGAAATGAAATTACTAGGGACACACAAGAGTGCCAGGAAATGGGTGCCTATTAGAGGTTTGGGGTCAGGTTAGAATTCCAAGGGAAGCCTTGGTGAGTGTCCTCCAGCAATGAACAACCTTTCAGATACAGGCCCTAGGGGAGGCAGAGGGTGGAGATGAGCGAGTTAGCATTGCTGGGGGCAGATGGAAGAGAACTGAGGGTATTTATAAGGCAGTGGTTTTGATACACAATGGACTTTGAGCAGCTGAGGGTTGGGAAATTCTTTCAGGCCTCACATCTGTCTCCAGGATTATTCGTTTTATTATTGTTTTAAATGACATTGTGTAAAACATGGTGGAGTTAGTGGTCAGTTTTCCAGAAAAGGAAGAGGCATCTCCATCCTTAGGGGCTCAAAGTACCCCCTACTTTATTGCTGCATAACTCAGATTCCTGAGGGTTTATTTTATTTATTTATTCATTATTTATTTATTTTTGGCGATAGAGTCTCACTCCATCGCCCAGGCTGGAGTGCAGTGATGTGATCTTGGCTCACTGCAACCTCTGCCTCCTGGGTTCAAGTGATTCTTCTGCCTCAGCTCCTGAGTAGCTGGGATTGCAGGTGTGCACCACCACACCCAGCTAATTTTTGTATTTTTAGTAGAGATGGAGTTTCACCATGTTGGCCACCATGGTCTGGAACCCCTGGCCTCAAGTGATCCACCCACCTCAGCCTTCCAAAGTATTGGGATTACAGGTGTAAGACAGTGTGCCCGGCCCCTCTTAGGGTTTATATTAGGAACAATGTCCTCAACTATTGCAGCGATATATTGTATGCCTAATTTTAGTGCCAGAACATAGTAGACCATCAATAAACATGTGGCGAACTAAACAATCTCAATGTTAGGCAAACCTTAGAAGCTGGCGATAGCCCATGTGGAAGTCTTCAGAAAGCAAGCTTCCTTAGATTTCCAGTTTGAATCCTACATGATTCTTGGAAAGTTAATAGTAGAGAGTGTTTAATTGTACAAAGTTTCAGCTGAGGAAGATGAAAAAGTTTTAGAGATGGATGGTGGCAGTGGAGCATAATGATGTGAATGTAGTTAATGCCACTGAACTCTACACTTGAAAATGATGAAAATGGCACTCCAGCCTGGGCGACAGAGCGAGACTCCGTCTTAAAAAAAAAAAAAAGAAGAAGAAAAAAAAGAAAAAAGAAAATCAGGTGTAGAATAGTGTAGTTTATTCCTTTTAAGAAAATGAATGGTAATATACTTATGTACATACAAAAATACCTGTACATGCACATCATCTCTAGAAGTATAACATGGAGGGCCTAGAACCCCAGGTGACAGACCTATTGCTCACTGCATATTCTTTTTTTTTTCCTTCCCTTCCCCTCTTCCCTTCCCTTCTCCTTTTCCCTTTCCTTTCCCCTCTTCCCGTCCCCCCTACCCTTTTTTTTTTTTGAGACAGAGGTCTCACTCTGTTGCCCAGGCTGGAGTGCAGTGGCACAGTCACAGCTCACTATACTCTCAACCTCCTGGGCTCAAGCAATCCTCCCCTCTAAGCCTCCCAGGTAGCTGGGACTGTAGTCGTGAGCCACCGCACCCCACCCTGTACTTTCATATTCGTGACCATTAGTAATTATTACTTTCTCAAATAGAAGAAGAACCTTAAAATGTGAGTTGTGGCTCCTAAGCTTAAATTGTTACTATTGAGTACATTCCTTAAAAATTATCCTTGTTGGGCCGGGCGCAGTGGCTCATGCTTGTAATTCTAGCACTTTGGGAGGCCGAGGCAGGTGGATCACGAGGTCAGGAGATCAAGACCATGGTGAAACCCCTCTCTACTAAAAATACAAAAAATTAGCCAGGTGTGGTGGCGGGCGTCTGTAGTCCCAGCTACTCAGAGAGGCTGAGGCAGGAGAATGGCATTAACCCGGGAGGTGGAGCTTGCAGTGAGCTGAGATCGTGCCACTGCACTCCAGCCTGGGTGACAGAGTGAGACTCCGTCTTAAAAAACAAAAACAAAAACAAAAAACAAACAAAAAATTATCCTTGTTGCACCTGGTGGCACACACCTAGAGCCCCAGCTACTCAGGAGGCCAAGGCAGGAAGATCACTTGATCCCAGGAGTTCAAGACCAGTCTGGGCAACATAGCAAGACCCTGTCTCAAAAAAGAAAAACAGTTTGTCCTTGTTTTAAGAACCTAATTCTATATAAGCATTGGTCACCTGAGTTTCCTAATTATGTCTGTTTAATTTATTTTTTGGAGACAGAGTCCTGCTCTGTCGCCCAGGTTGGAGTGCAGTGGTGCGATCTCAGCTCACTGCAACCTCCACCTCCTGGGTTCAAGTGATTCTCGTGCCCAGCCTCGCAAGCAGCTGGGACTACAGACATCTACCACCACACCTGGTTAATTTTTGTATTTTAGTAGAGATGGGGTTTCACCATGTTGGCCAGGCTGGTCTTGGACTCCTGACCTCAAGTGATCCACCTTCCTCGGCCTCCCAAAGTGTTGGGATTACATGTGTGAGCCACTGCGCCTGGCCAGACTTCGTAGTTTGTATCATCTATCTTGATGATGCCTGACGCCCTTTTTCTTTCTTTTCTATGTGCAGCATAATAAGAGTGCCACATACTCCGTGGGAATGTAGAAAACGTACTCCATGATCTGCTTAGCCATTGATGATGATGACAAAACTGATAAAACCCAGAAAATCTCCAAGAAGCTTTCCTTCCTGAGTTGGGGCACCAGAAAGAACAGACAGAAGTCAGCCAGCACCTTGTGCCTCCCATCGGTCGGGGCTGCACGGCTTCAGGTCAAGAAGAAGCTGCCCTCCCCTTTCAGCCTTCTCAACTCAGACAGTTCTTCATACTAATGTGAGGAAACAAACACGTTCAGGCCCCGAACATTTCCGGTGCTGACTCAGCCTTAAACATTTGTGCCATAATGGAAAATATCTATCTATTCTCAAATCCTGTTTTTCTCATAGTGTAAACTCACATTTGATGTGTTTTTATGAAGGAAAGTAACCAAGAAACCTCTAGGAATTAGTGAAAAAAGAATGTTTTTGAGGCCTGTTACTATATTGCTATAAGTTATTTATTATATAAAGTATTGTAAATAGAATAGTGTTGAAGATATGAAATACGGCTATTTTTAATGGTGACAATTATGACTCTTAGTCACTATTAAATTGGGGTTACCTATAATAGTACAATTTGTAGTTGTTTCCAGGTTTGGCTAATAATCATTCCTTAACCTAGAATTCAGATGATCCTGGAATTAAGGCAGGTCAGAGGACTATAATGATAGAATTAAATTGGTGTCACTAAAAACTGTCCCAAAGTGCTGCTTCCTAATAGGAATTCATTAACCTAAAACAAGATGTTACTATTATATCGATATACTATGAATGCTATTTCTAGAAAAAGTCTAGTGCCAAATTTGTCTTATTAAATAAAAAAAATGTAGGAGCAGCTTTTCTTCTAGTTTGATATCATTTAAGAATTGCTAACACAGTGGCAGTGTTAGATGAAGATGCTGTCTACAAGGTAGATAATATACCGTTTGATACTCAAAACATTTTTCATTTTGTTTAAAGTAGAAGTTACATAATTCTATATTTTAAGTCTTGGGTAAAAAAGTAGTTTTACATTTTATAAAGTAAAGATGTAAATGATTCAGGTTTAAAGCTCTATTTGACTTTTTTGTTGTTGTTTGAGATAGAGTCTTGCTAGTGTCAATAGCAAAAGCCTTCTAGCTATCTGCCTTTCAGGTACATGGTGGGGCATACTTAACTGTTTTCTCTGATGTTGGGCATAGCATGGACCTACTTGGTTCAATATCTGACACTATTTGCATTTATTGACACTATCTGTGTTGATTTGTGCTATTTCCTGTGTGTGATTTGCACATCTGCCATTGCTTTTTGTCTCTAGTTACTGCTTTCTTTTCCTGTTTGTCTTGTTCTTGTAGGACCCTTTCTGACTCTCTCAAGAGGGATCTTTTCAACCCCAACTCCCACTGGTCTAATCCTAACCAGCACCAGCTGGTTGGGAAGTAGAGCAGGAACTCTGGCTGCCCTAATCTACATGGTGCTCTCTGCTCCTGGGCAGGGGTGTGGGTGTTTTTATATAGTATTCTCTTGAGTATGAAATGCCTGAACAAAGCAGTGATTTGGCAAGCCTGAAGTCACACACTGGGGCTCATAGTAACTTGCTTCTGCTAGCAACGTGAGCATTAGAAACATTTCCTGGCCAAGTAGCCTTGAATCAGCTAGGAGTAGGGGTGCAATGAGTCTGAGTTCACTTTGCTCAGGGTGACAAGGCTTTAGAGTATTGGTTAATTGTCAAACTCTTTTGTTTAAGAGACAAGGTAAACATTCATACATATATACATAGAGAAGCTTTCTAGGGTTACTTAGGCTTTATGTGATTACTAGCAGAAATGTTTGTATTTGCAAGCAAAGCTTATAAATCACCTCTTAGATATCTTTGCAAAATGAAGCTAAAACATGGTTTAAAGAATCAAAAATATAAGATATTTACAATGATTTATAATTGAATCAGGAATGCATTTGGTATTTTTTAAAAGGAATAATTGGCTAAGATTTAAATTAATTTGCTTTCCTTAAAAACCCAGCGCCTAAACAATAGAAAGAAATAGGAACAGTTACACTGGGTGTGTGAGGGGTGGAGGGGGGGACCCAACTGGGACTGAAATTTCTTGGAGAAAATCTACAAAATCGGCCAAGCACACATGGATTGTGTGACTTCATTTAGTTGGAGGAGAACTGAGCAACCCGCTGATCTCAAATGTCTTTCCCCAGGAGAAATAATCTCTCTCGTCTTGGAATGGCTGTAGCACTGAAAGTCTATTCCACCCTTGGCACTTACCTTAATCTATGTGGTAATATTATCTCTTTTAGAAATGTTTTTATCTCTTCATTATAACAATTATCTTTTTATGTGCCTGACTTACCTAGGATGCTCATTCATTCCAGGTGGCCTGGAACAGTTCTGATTTGCACCCATTGCCATGGTTTAATTAATAGTGCCCCCTTTCACTCTCAGAAGTGTCCTGGCTTGGATGATAAATTATAAGGTACCCATAGTCTTATCCCAACTAAACGGAAAGTTCCTGTGTTAGTCAAGATCCCAGCAAGAAACAGAATATTATGTGGGGATTTTTGAAGAGATAAAAGTCCCTTTAATAAAGGGACTATTTACAGATGTGTGGGCAGAGTTAAAAGCATCAAAAAAGGATGTTGAGGCACCAGGCCTGAAAAGGTAAAGGGAAGAAATGATGCCATTGGAGCTTACCTGGGGGGCACAGCTTTTGAAGAGGGGCTGCCCTAGAGAAGCCATAGTCCTGGAAGGGCTCAAACACTACAGAATGGGCCAAGCAAGGGAAGATATTCCCTACCACTGTCCTCCCACCCATCTATTACCTATCTGTGCCTTCTATTGGTTGAACCCAAATGCAAGCCAGAAGGCAAAGGAGCCCTGGTGATAAAGTTGGAAGGTGTTCGTTTCCTTGGGAAGAAGAGCAGGGAAAGGCAGAGAATGAATTGAGGGGGATCAGGGTATCTTGGGTCCTAGGGAAGTGGCAAACAGAAAATAAAGCTTCCTAAGGGGAGTCTCTTTGTCTTCAAGTCAATTAAAAACACATGTGTGCACACACGTGCAAAACACTACAGGAAAGGCCATGATTGGCAAGACTTGGCAGCTATTTAAGGGAGATATTCTCTACAATGGGGAACAAGAAATAAACTTAAGGAAGTTAAATTGCAGACTGAAGGTAAATAGCAGACTACAACAATATTAAGCAGTATATGGTGATTGTCAGATTAATGGTGTAGGCCCTAGATGTTAAAGGAGTTTGAAGGATGAAAGATCACAATGGGCTGGAGCAATCTGAAAAAATAATTTATGGAAGAGGAGAGGTTTTCAGCAGCATTGAAATTAGAGCCAACTTATATGGGCAAGAAGGAGAGGTTGGTCTTCTTTGGGGCAATGGCATCAACAAGAGCACAGGTGTTAGCCTGAGACACATCTTCCCATGGGTGGAGGGCTGGTGTTGTTTCTGAGATTTTCAAAAATCTTACAAACATTCCAGGCAAATACCTATGGAAGGGGCTAAAGGACATTAAATGGGCTGTAAGAGGTATAGGTTGTGGGTGGCCATTGATTCATTCCTTCAATAAACATTTATTGAATGCTTGGTATTGGTCAAGCCACTGTTCTGAGAGCTGCTGATGCCAAGTAAAATAAGACATGGTTCTTTCCCTTGAAGAAAGGGAATGGAAAAGGTAACCAAGGGAGAAAATAATTATTTTGCCTTGTGTCCAGATGAGGTTTTTCACATTCTTGGCTGGTCTTTTCACTCACTGCTTAAACTCTTTGGAGAGCCTTTACTCCCTTCAGGGGAAAGGATCGAGGCCCTTCCGATGTGGCCTTTTCTTGAGTCTCCAGCCCCATCTCTTACCACTCCTCCCAACACAGAGGTATGCACAGACGATATGCAAGCACACAGGAGATCATCTAAATGAGACTCGAGCAGAGAGTGATTAAGGAAGACTTCCTGGAGGAGGTAATGCAATCTGAATTCTGAAGTGTGAGCAGGGGCTTTGTAACAGTGTTTCCATTTATTTGTGTCTATCCTGATGCATTCTAAAAAGGAAGTAAGATGGTTGGCTTAAGAAATACACAGAGCAGGATAAAAAGAAAATTAGGTAAAACATAGGGTGAGCTTATTTGCCTTTTATGTACATTGCTGCATTTGATTTCAGAAAAGCTTTTTAAAGTTGCAGTTTTATTTTCATTTTCCAGATGAGGAAGCCAAGACCCAGTGGTTGAAGTACCTTGCCCAGAGCACACAGTCTTGACAGGCAGTGGAAGCAGAACAGAACCAAGCTGGTTTGGTACCAGTCTGTGAGTTTTCAGCCGTGTGCACTAGTATAAAAGATGTGCTTTTACCAGTCTGTGAGTTTTCAGTTGTGTGCACTAGTATAAAAGATGTGCTTGTGACTTCCGTGGCTTACCTCCCTGCATAGAGCTCAAGACCTGAAGGTGCTGCATGGGGCAGTAAAGGATGGCTGTGTACTTTGAAGACTGAAAAGTGAGTGAAGGGGGTGTATTAGTCCATTCTCACACTGCTAATAAAGACATACCCGAGACTGGGTAATTTATAAAGGAAAGAAGTTAATTGACTCACAGTTCAGCATGGCTGAGGAGGCCTCAGGAAACTTACAATCATGGTGGAAGGGGAAGAAAACGTGTCCTTCACATGGTGGCAGCAAGGTGAAGTGCTGAGCAAAAGGGAGAGAAGCCCCTTATAAAACCATAAGATCTTGTGAGAACTCACATTCACTACCATGAGAATGGCAGCATGAGGGTAATCACCCCCATGACTCAATTAGCTCCTACCAGGTCCCTCCCACAACATGTGGGGATTATGGGAACTACAATTCAAGATGAGATTTGGGTGGGGACACAGCCAAACCATATCAGAAGGGAACTGGGAAAGACATTTCAGGCAGAAGAGTCAGCGTGTTCAAAGCAAGAGGGGTGTGAAGGAGCATGGCATGTTGGAAGGATAGTAATTAGCTCATGATGGTTGGGAGTGTTAAGAGCACTGCTGAGAGATGGGGCTGGAGACACAAGCAAGGGCCACATCTGAAGGGCTTCATATGGCCCTTGGCCTGAAGGGAGTGAAAATTCTTGAAGGAGTTTAAGCAGTGAGTGACAAGACTGAGAATGTTAAAAACCTCACTTGTACAGCAATGTAAGCAAGTCTAGGTCGGGAGAAGCCTGGAGACCGAGAGGCCAGTTACAGGGCTTGCTGCAGTCATAGAACAACAAGATGGTAGAAATGATAAGGAGGGTGTTAGAGTTTGGGAGCTATTATGGAGAAACATTAGACAGAGGTGGGCCCCTGGATTGGGGATGGGTAAAGGTAACGAATTCTCACTTGGGCAGCCAGCGAGGTGATGCCATTCATGAGGCAGGGATGGTGGGGAAGAACCAGCTTAGTGCTTGAAGGTGATGAGTAGAGATGATGATGGTCATAAACAACTAATAAAGAAAATGAGCTTCACTTTTTTACCTTCTGTTCTGTCTAGTTGTTTAGTTTATTGAGGCCTTAGAAAAAAATATGACAGCCCCAGAGAAAATACTGTCAATAAAAGTTAAATGTATTTATTTTGATAAGACATTGTTTTTATTGCAAAAGTAATATATACACAGACAATTTAGAAATTACAGACAAGCCAAAGAAAATGTTGTTACACAAATGCAATGTTACAATGACTTGTAACACTTTGGTGTGTTTCCTTTTTTTTCTAAGCACATATGTGTAAATATATGCATTTTTAGAGGATTTCAGTAATGTTCTCATGATTAAATATATCATGCACATCCTTCTTTCTTTTCTTTCTTGCTTTTTTTTTTTTTTTTGAGACATGGTCTAGCTCTGTCACCTGGGCTTGAATGTAGTGCAATTCTGGCTCACTTCAACCCCCATCTCTTGAGTTCAAGTGATCCTTCTGCCTCAGCCTCCCAAGTAGCTGGCACTACAGGTGTGTGCCACCATGCCCAGCTAATTTTTGTATTTTTTGTTGGGACAGGGTTTTGCCATGTTGCCTAGGCTTGTCTCAAACTCCTAGGCTCAAGTGATCCACCCACCTTGGCTTCCCAAAGTGTTGGGATTACAGGCATGAGCCACCATGCCTGGCACATGCACATCTTTCAATAACATTGGTAATTCTATAAGATCATTTTGGAGATTGCATGGTATTCCATTTATGAATGCACTGTCTCCTGTTCAACTATGTTTCTGCTGAGACATTTAGGTTGTTTCCATTTTTGTTTTTACTATTACAAACAAGTCTGCAGTAAAGTAATGAAAATTTAAATTTTCCAATTAACCTTTGGTTTTTAGTAGTGCAATTTAGTTTATGAAATTAAGTTTGGGCATGGTTTGTTTTTTTAAGTGGTTGTAGAAAGAAACAGATTTTTTTTTTTTTTTTGAGACGGAGTCTCACTCTGTCACCCAGGCTGGAGGGCAGTGGTGTAATCTCGGCTCACTGCAACCTCTGCTTCCCGGGTTCAAGCAATTCTCTGCCTCAGTCTCCCGAGTAGCTGAGATTACAGGCACCTGCCACCACACCCGGTTAATTTTTGTATTTTTAGTAGAGACGGGGTTTCACCATCTTGGCCACGCTGGTCTTGAACTCCTGACCTCATTATCCACCTGCCTCAGCCTCCAAAAGTGCTGGGATTACAGGCTTGAGCCACCGCGCTTGGCGAAACAGTTGTTTTTAAATTGCTCTGAAAAAATATGTGGTCTCTCATTCTCATGTATGAGAGCAAACTGATATAAGGTATGACTATTAAAAAGGAAGTATGGAAACTATCTGTCAGTTGAGTCATTCTTTAACTTTCAGTGAGGACAGAGACCACATTTTCTAATGAGATTCCTTTGCTTTAATGACTTTTTCAGTGTCTCCCCAAGGAGCATACAAAATTTTGTCAATTCTTCAAAATGATGTACAAATTGATAAACCTCATGAATAATTGCAATTGTAGTTAAATTAAACTTCCTTTTGATTGCGTACAATAAATTTTTTGCATACATCTTTAAAATTTTTTCCCTTAATTTAGCAGCAGACTTTGAGGATAGGAAACATATTATAGCTGACCTTTTTTAACTGATCATTGCCCTTTTCCTTAGAGTTTCTACTGACTAAACTCTGCTAGGTGTCTGCTCTCTCTGCCCTTGTCAAGCCTCTAATAGTCAAACATCTGAAATTCCTCTTTTCCAGTGAAGATGCTGCAGAGTACTTGGAAGAGAAAAGGAGATATTTCTGGCTTGTCTGGACAAGGTTAGACCCCCGATAGCAGCAGAAAAGGGATACGGGATGTCAGTGATAAATGGGTGGTCTCTGTTCAAACAATACAATGCATGCATTCTCCCATAGTGCTTGGAAAATCCCCAGTAGCTGTGTACTCCAAGCCATCCTGGTTGGATGTAGATACATTTCACCAGTCTCAGTACCCTTTTTCTTTCATAAATATCTTCTATTCTAAAAGAAAGTGAATAGAAAATACAAGCTAATCTCACACATAACCTAAGCGTAACATAAAGGAGAAATTTTAAAAATTTAATTTACAGTAAACATACATTTTAGCCAGATGCTTGTACTTATACCTAGAATCGTTGTGAATGTGACACCTACAAATGCAGACTGATACTGGAGTGATACATTGATGACTCAAATACCACAGGGGGCATCACCATTGGTATTGTAATTTTCCAGAATGATGAACTACAATGGGTTAAGTTATGCGTGAAGCAACATCCAGTTTTCCTCGCCTTTATAAAGTGCATTCCTAAAAATTCAGTGAAGCAACATCCAATTTTCTTTGCATTTATAAATTGTATTCCTAGAAAATTCAGTGCATTTAAAACTACTCAAAAGTATTTTGTGTTTTATGTGTAAATTAAAGTTAGATTTTAGGCTCACATCATTGTAAATAGGTTTTTCATCTACTTGAAAGACATTCAAAGCTCATGTCTGACATGAGACAGCTTTTTTTTTGCATGACTGACCCACATATTATTGGGCATCTCTAATCCCAGGACCCCAGCAAGTTGTACCCCATTCATTGTTAGAGCCAAAATACAAACAAACTAGGCCGGGCGTGGTGACTTAATGCCTGTAATCCCAGCACTTTGGGAAGCTGAGGCGGGCAGACCTGAGGTTGGGAATTTGAGACCAGCCTGGCCAACATAGTGAAACCCTGTCTCTACTAAAAATACAAAAATCAGCTGGGCGTGGTGGCATGTGCCTGTAATCCTAGCTACTTGGGAGGCTGAGGCACGAGCACTGCTTGAACTTGGGAGGCAGAGGTTGCAGTGAGCTGAGATAACTCCTGCACTCAAGCCTGGGTGACAGAGTGAGACTCTGTCTCAAAAAAGAAAAATAAAGCAAAACCCCCAAATACTGACAAACTTACAAATTGTCCCTTTAGGTGGGTATAATTCCCCTGCCTTCACCTCAATCACTGGTTAAGCAGCTCCTGACTGTTTTTCTTTTTTGGACCTGGGAGGATTTTCCTCTGAGGTACAGAGAATTAGGTCAACTTGAGTCTGATTTAAAAAAAGTATTTATGTTAAAAATTGTGCACATATACACAATTATATATAACACAATATATAATGTTAAAAATATACGTATAATAAAAGTTACCATTTAAACCATTTTAAATGTATAGTTCAGTGACATTAAACATTTACATTATTGTACAACCAATACCACTATCCATCTCCAGAACAGTTTTATCTTCTCCTCCTGGTTTTTTAAAGAAATCACAGACAGTAGTCTGTTTTGTCTCTCGTTTTCTTTTTTCTTTTTTCTTTTTTTTTTTTTTGAGACAGAGTCTCACTCTGTCTCCAGGCTAGAGTGCAGTGGTGTGATCTCAGCTCACTGCAACCTCCACCTCCTGGGTTCAAGCAATTCTTATTCCTCAGCCTCCCGAGTAGCTGAGATTAGAGGCACCTGCCACCACACCCAGCTAATTTTTGTATTTTTAGTAGAGAGGGGGTTTCACCATGTTGGCCAGGATGGCCTCAGTCTCCTGACCTCATGATCCAACTGCCTCGGCCTCCCAAAGTGTTGGGTTTATAGGCGTGAGCCACCGCACCTGGCCTGTCTCTTGTTTTCTTAGGTCTTCTCATTGGCACTCATTCTGAGAATTGGTCTATTTCTTTTTTCTTTTTTTTTTTTTTTTTTTTTTTTTTTTTTGAGATGGAGTCTAGCTCTCTCACCCAGGCTGGAGTTCAGTGGCACAATCTTGGCTCACAGCAACCTCTGTCTCCCTAGTTTAAGTGATTCTTCTGCCTCAGCCTCCCAAGTAGCTGGGATTACAGGCAGCTGCCACCATGCCCAGCTAATTTTTGTATTTTTAGTAGAGACAGGGTTTCATTGTGTTGCCAGGCTGGTCTCGAGCTCCTGACCTTGTGATTCACCCACCTCACCCTCCCAAAGTGCTGGGATTACAAGCATGAGCTACTGCTCCCGGCCTGGTCTGTTTCTTGATTCTGATTAGGCCAGGTTTGTGACTCAACTTTTTGTCTCTGGTGAGGCTGTCATGCTCTGAGCTCTGCTTGTGCTGCTGACCACGCCTCTGCCCCCAGCCATATGGTAACCACACATGGCACCACCTCTCCGGCAGGCCTGGGCCTCCCCAGCTCTGTGGCTGTGTCCGGGACTGAGTCTCCCTATGACTCCTCTTCACTCTCCCTTCTGGAAAATTCATCTTTTCCTTGGCAGGTTATATCATAATTTCATATTCATTTGATCACTTCAGACATCCTATATTCAACTGTACAGTCCTGTTTTGTCTACACTTATCTATCTGAAATCCTATGTTATTAGGCTGTGTGTCTGTTAGAAGAGGCAACTTGGCAGTGTGGAAAGAGCATTAGAACTGGAATCAGAGGACAGTGAGTAAAAAGTGAGAGGGCTGATCACTAGATAATCTGCAGCTTCAAAGAAAAAGTTAATATGTTAATTTGTATAAAATATCATATCTGCCTACCTCATAGAACCTTCATAAGCATTGAATGCAAGTGAAAAATCGTAAAAGCATAAGGCATTATTATATAGCCCTTACTGTAATAAAAGATGCATAATACATGCTTTTTAAATGACAAAAGATATAATGGCATACACTACTAATTGGTAAAGAACATAAGGCTGGATAATAGAATCTGCAAACCCAGATATAGGCTGTTTTATTTAGTAGGGATGTAGTCTTCAATAAATGTTAAATGAACATATGTGCTCCAGAAAAGTTATTCAAAACCTTCATTTGGGGGTATTTAAAAGACAGTAACTCTCAGATATTTAGTGCTTGGAAGTCCACATAGATGTTCTGGAGTGTCAGCAGATGTGTGAGGTTGATTTCTGCCTGTTGTCATGAGAACACAGCTTGTCTTTATTGGCCTTTAGGAACATGACCCTAAAAGTCAGCCTGACAGTGATATTCTTCTATGAAAAGAGAGACTACTACCCAAAGGAGCTGTAACAGGAGACCTGAGGAGTCAGATATGATCAGATGATCTGTTTCCATTTACAGAGTCCTGAAAATCTTTGAGGCTGGTAGCCGCAAGTCATAGTTCCAGCCAGTGCTGTGCTGAACCATGTTGCAAAAGGAAGGATGTGTACTACATACTATATAACTGGATACATGATTTTACGTATTTTTAAAACCAGTTATTGGCGGCCAGGCGCAGTGGCTCATACCTGTAATCCCAGCACTTTGGGAGGCCGAGGCAGGTGGATCACCTGAGGTCAGGAGTTCATGACCAGCCTGGCTAACATGATGAAACCCCATCTCTACTAAAAATACAAAAAAATGAGCTGGGCATGGTGGCGAGCACCTGTAATCCCAGCTACTCGGGAGGCTGAGGCTGGAGAATCGCTTGAACCTAGGAGGTGGAGGTTGCAGTGAGCCGAGATGGCGCCATCACACTCCAGCCTGGGCAATAAGAGTGAAACTCTGTCTTGGAAAAAAAAAAAGGTTATTGACTTAGATAAAAATATCACCTATGAGTTTGCTTCCATTAAAACCAGCAAAATAAATTTATAGTAAATTCTGATTTTGGTATAAATCAAATACTTAATGTGAGTTTTAATATATCTACTTTTCAATTGTTTCAATATTTTAAAACTAGTGTTCTGAAAAAAATTGATATCTGCTTAAGGTATTATTTTTATTTTATTTTATTTTTTTTGAGATGGCGTCTCACTCTGTCGCCCAGGCTGGAGTGCAGTGGTGCAAACTTGCAAGCTCCGCCTCCTGGGTTCACGCCTTTTTCCTCCTCAGCCTCCTGAGTAGCTGGGACTACAGGTGGCCGCCACTGCGCCCAGCTAATTTTTTTCGTATTTTTAGTAGAGATGGGGTTTCACCGTGTTAGCCAGAATGTTCTCGATCTCCTGACCTCATGATCCACCTGCCTCGGCCTCCCAAAGTGCTGGGATTACAGGCGTGAGCCACCGCGCCCGGCCAAGGTATTATTACATAGAATTTATCATAATTAAACATCAAAAATACGTAAAAAACATGTGAATAGGGTTGTATGTTTTTCTGTTGTAGGCTCCAATATGGCTTAACATGGCACTATCAGTTCTTGTTTTCATTTAAAATGTTATTTTGTTCTTTATGGATTTTTGCATTAATTTAGATTTTAAAAAATATTATATTAAAATATTATTTATCTTGACGACTGAGTTTTTGTGCCCCGCCCCTTATATTTTCTGCCTGAGGTTAGTGTTTCACTTGCCTGAACCTGTTCCTGGCCCTGGTCCCAACCCTCTATCCCAACAAACTATAATGCAAAAACTGCTACAGGAATGAAAACTGTGCTCACTACGCTAGAGGAGATATTCAAATCCAACTAATTTCTCCACAATCCAAGTGAGTCCAGGAAGCAACATGTCAAGTGGGGCAGGGAATGTGAGCTTTAGGGCTAGACAGATCTGGAATTAAATCCTGCCTTGCCTCCTTATGAGTCTGAGTAATTACTTACCCAGTCTGAGCCTGTTTGCTTATTTTTAAAAGGATCAGTCATTTTTTAGTGAGAGTTAAACAAGATCGCTTGTGTAAAGCCTCTGTATTCAATGAATGTTCACCTGTCTCCTTCCCTATTTTAGAAATAGTAGATTGACTCACAAACACTGAGTTGCCCAAAGACTTGCTCCCAGAAGTGCTGGCATTGAAATTTGAACCCAGGTGTAGAGAAAGTCCCGTGCTCTTCTCACTAAATTGCACTAATTCTAGCTGCTGCAGGGTTGCGTCTTTCTAAGGACATAATTCCTAGTTATACCAGCTACATCCAAGAGAACTTGGATAAGCAGCTCTGGAGCAGAGGTGGAATATGTAGCCCTTTGACCCGGCCATATACCACCAAAATATAAACATCAATGCAGAAATTAATGCCATCTCCTCTTTCTGACTCTACAAATATTTATTAGCAAGGGATAAGATTTCCGAAAGATCTGAAGAGAGTCAAGAAACTTTTTTCCCCCCTTTTCTTTAGAGGCAAGATCTCACCACGTTTTCTGGGCTAGTCTCGAACTCCTGGCCTTGTTACCATGGCAAATCCCACAGGTCTGCAGCAACCTCAATTCTCATTTCCTCAGAAGAAATAATTTGACTGAGGGGCAGAAGGCAGAAGGAGATACTGAGGCAAGTTTTAGAGCAGAAGTGAAAGTTTATTAAAAAACTTCAGAGCAGGAATGAAAGGGAGGAAAATATACTTGGAAGAGGGCCAAGTGGGTGACCTGAAAGACAAGTGTGTGGTTTGACCTTTTGATTTGGGGTTTTATACATCAGCATACTTCCAGGATCTTGGGTTACTTCTCCCCACTCCTGAAAGCTTATCCAGAAGTTGATCAGTTTCAGGTGTTTTCTATTTATTGGGAGCCTGCCTTTCCCTAGCACCGGCTGGGACCAATTATTACTTTAGAGAGACAGTTAACAACCCCCTCGCCTGCCCAAGACTCCTGGGTTGGGGATGGGGGAACCCTCTCCTGCCCATTCCTTCCCTCTCCTGCCAACTCCTCGCCTCTCCTGCCCTGCCCTGCTCCACCCATGTCTGACTAGCTACTTACTGTAACAGCCTCAAGTGATCCTCCCACGTTGGTCTCTCACAGTTCTGGCATTCTAGGTGTGAGCCACTGTGCATGCCCTCAAGGAACTTGAATACTGTACTTTTCAACATATGAGACAATTTGCAATTAGGAATTAGATATGTTTGTTAATTGTATGTATGCATTTTGGTATATTTCTTGTGATGATTGATATTTTATCTCATTTTAGAGGCAGATTGTATAGAATAAATTGAAATTTGCTTAGTGATGGTGGAAAGCTTTGCATCTCTTTTAGGGGTGATTAGCTATGCTTACAATAAAACTGTGCATATATATATTTGGAACATCCTTATAATAAAAAAATAAGCAACCTACATGTCCAACAATAAAATAGTGTTTATATGAATTATGGCATACCATAGAATATTATGCTGTGATTAAACATGGTATTCCCAAAATATAAAATGAAAAAATGAGGACATAAGACTGTTTAATATGTATCTGGCTGGGTGCAGCAGCTCATGCCTGTAATCCCAGCAATTTGGGAGGCTAGGCAGGAGGACTGCTTGAGCCCAGAAGTTGGAGACAAGCCTGGGCAACATGGCAGAACCTTACCAAAATAATACAAAAATTAGCCGGGTGTGCTGGCTCGTGCCTGTGGTCCCAGTTACTCGAGAGGCTGAGGTGGAAGGATCCCTTGAGCCCAGGAGGCAGAGGTGCATTGAGAGCCATGTTCATGCTACTGCACTCCAGCCTGGGTGACAGAGTGAGACCCTGTCTCAAAAAAAAAAAAAAAAAAAAAAAACTGTATAATATAAATCTAACTCTGCAAAGTTTTTAAAAATGTACTTATGTAAATAGAGAAAACAACTAAATAAAGATATTGAAATGTTAACGGTAATTAGTGATGGGATTATAGGTGACTTTTATTTTTTAAACAGTCTTTCATAGATTTTTCCAAAATGTCTATAAATTAACAAATATTATTTTTCTATAATTAAAAAATACTTTAAAATACAGTTTCTTTAATGGTGGAGTTTAAATGATATCCAAAATAGACCTGCCCAGTTTTATTTTGGAGCAAATAAATTTGACAATTAGAACAATTGCAATGTATGTTTTTATTTTTATTTTATTTTTACTTTTATTTTTTCTAAAGACAAGGTCTTGCTCTGTCACTCAGGCTGCATAATCATAGCTCACTGCAGCCTCAAACTCCTGGGCTCAAGCGATCCTGCTGCCTTAACCTCCCAAGCAGCTAGGACTACAGGCGCATGCCACCAGGCCCAGCTACTTTTAAAAATTTTTGTAGAGACAGGATTTTGCTATGTTGCCCAGGCTGGTCATGAACTTTTGGCCTCAAGCAATCCTCACTGCCCCACCTCCCAAAATACTGGGATTACAGATGTGAGCCACCACACTTGGCTTCAATGTATGTCTAAATAGTCATACAAACCTTTAAGTAAAGGAAATTTTTTTAACTTTTTTTTTTTTTTTTAAAGACAGGGTCTTGCTTTGTTGCCTAGGAGTGCAGTGGCTCTTCACAGGTGTGGTCACAGTGCACTCTGGCCTAGAACTCCTGGCTTCAAGACATCCTCTCTTCTTGCCTCAGCCTCCTGAGTAGCTGAGAATACAGGCAGGTGCTACCATACCCAGCTTATGTTAAGGAAATTTTGAGTCACCTTTGTCCTGGTTTAGCCATAGTTCTTAATGTTAAAAAAGAACTTTATTTCTGGTGCCAAAGTATCACCACAGTTTTTACTGATTTGTTCTTATATGCTTTCACCTCTGGAATATAAAATAAGTTAGGAGCAAAATATATGTAATGGAATGCTGTACGTAGGGAGAAAATTGTGTTGACCATAACCCCTGAAAAAGAAAAATAATGCATCTCTCATTTGTAGCAGCAGTAAATTGAACAAATGCTTTGCTTTGTTTCCCACTTACAATATTAAAGAAGACATTTGATATGTCATGGCACACACTCCTTTCCTGATCTTTTTCCTAACACTCCTCTCCTTGTGAATGTTTACCTTTCACTCTGCTGAGTGTCTGTATCTTTTTTTTACCCTCTAACATTAACCCATCTCCTTGTCACTAGAAGGGAAGCAGATGTGAGCATAGCTGTTCCATAGTACCACTTTCCCCATCTATATGACTACCACAGAAACAATCATGTTCTTATAGAACTCTGCTGCCCCCATCTCTGTTGTTTGGCCCAGGGGTTGGGGACACCACACAAACCACGTCAAAGACTTCTAGACTTTTCCTCTGGTAGGGGAGACTTTAGATGCAAATATTGGAAACTGTTATTATTCGTTGTTGTAGTTGAATTATGTCTCCTGCAAAAAGGTATGTTGAAGTCCTAGCCCCCAGTACCTCAGAATGTGACCTTATTTGGAAATAGGGTGTTTATACATGTAATCAAGTTACAATGAGGTCATTAGAGTAGGCCCTAATCAATAGGACTGGTGTCCTTATATAATAAAAAAGGGAAATTTAGACTCAGAGACAGACACACACAGAAGGAAGATCATGTGAAGAGATACAGGGAGGAGATGGTTATGTGACTGGAGTAACGCATCTAAAAGCCACTGGCTGTCAAGGATTGCCCACAAACATGGGAAGCTGGGAGAGGCCAGAAAGGATTCTCCCCAAGAGTCCTCTGAGTGGGCATGCCCTGCCAACTCCTTGAGCTTGGACTTCTAACCTCCAGAATTGTAAGACAATAGATTTCTGTTGTTTTAAGACAACTCGTTTTTAGTGTGTTGTTATAGCAGCCCTAGAAAATAATACTGTGTTGTGTGTTTTTTTTTTCTCATCATATGGAGTGGAGAGAACTAGTGAGAGTATGCAGGTTTTTTTTTTTTTTTTTTGAGAGAAGAGTCACAGTGAGTCTGATAGCTTTTGAATCTTGGTTTTGAGTCCTTTCTGAGACCTAAATGCATGACTGTCGTTTCTGTGTATTGGTTATTCAATCTTTTCTTGGATTACATGAACCGATTATCAGTTTTTGTGAGGGTGGAGTGTCTAAGTTGATTGAGTTGGATTTCTGGCACTTTTCTGGCACTTGCAATGAGAAATAGCTAATGAATCCTGAGTATCTAAGCAGCCTAGGAACGTGATATTTTCTAATACAAATGACACAAAACTTTTTTAGGTGTTGTATTACCTGAAGGCCAAAGTTCTCCTTTTCTAACACTATGACACATTGATATATTTAATTCCTCACATAAAACAGGAAAAAATTACTTGAAGAATATACAGCTTTTATTATAAGGATGCAGGCAGGTCTCATGCATCTGAGCTTTTTATTTATTTGTTAATGTTCATTCATGTTGTCTTTTTTTCAATTGGAACCACCAAAACTTAAGAAAAAATTATGGGAGAAATAAATTTTAGTTTAATGATTGAACATCTGCTATGTGCAGGCACTGAGCTAGGTGTTATGTTACAACTGTGAGCAGGACTAAATCCTTGCCTTGGAGGAGTTTATAACCTAGTAGGGGAAAAAGAGAAGTAAACAGAGTGCCAGGTGTTGTGGTGTGAGCCTGTAGTCCTTGGAGCTGAGGTGAGAGGATGGCTTTAGCTCAGGAATTTGAGGCCATGGTGCACTATGATCAGGATTGAGAATAGTCACTGCACTCCAGCCTGGGTAACATAGCAAGACACTGTCTCTGAAAAAAAAAACACAAAAAACAAAATTAAAACAGGTAATCAAAATACAGTGACTAGGTTGTAGCATGACTAGATTATGGAGTGCAAGGTATGAAATTTTTGAGATAAAAGAGATAGATCAAGAAATGCCTTTCATGCCACATAAAAGAGTTTTGTTTAGACCAATGGCAGTGGGAGTAGGTTTTGAGCAGCAGGGTGAGAAAGGTAGGACTGAGCCTTTGAAAGTTCTAGTGCTTTAGAAGAGGCTCAGCATTTCAGTTAGGAAGACTGTGTGTAACATAGGTTTGAGATGGTAGTGGTCTCCTCCCCCAGGATGGTGGTGATAGAGATGGAGGGGAGTGGACTGGTTCAGGGAAAATTATTAATAGGAGTTGAAATTGACAGGCTTGGTCATGGGTGGTTGTGAGGGAGAGAAAGTCAGGTGTCTGGCTGAGGAGCTTTGCTGGATGGAAGTGCTATTTGCTGAGGCAGCAGACAGGAAGGGGAGTGGTTTGGGAAAGAGTGGGGGATGATGCGAGCATTGCTGAATGTGATGGGCTGTAGGACCAACAGTGGGGATGTCCACAAGAGTTGGCTATATATCATTGATGCTCAGTGGAGGGGCCAGAGGATTTGAATATAGTTAATAATTAAAAATGCGGATGTGATTACCAAGGGAGTACATATTATGTAAGAAAATCAAACAATGAGGACGCATCTCTGAGAAACTCCAACCATTCTGAAAAACTCCAAAAGACCATTCTTGGTAACTGTGCCAAGTGAATGGCCTGGTCTCTGAAACTCTACGCTCAGACACAGGTCATCCTGGAGAGTGGTGTCCTTCTGGATTGTCACATACCCTGTGAATGAAGCATGTGTTACAACAATAATGGAAAATACGCAAGTGAGAAAAAAAGTTTCTCAGTGCCCCACCACCCTAAATTCTGGCTCCACCCCTATTTGTTTTCTCATATTTGTCTTCTCATATTTGTCTGAATTTCTCCAAGGAGCCCATAATCAATGCTGGGTCATTCCTGGAGTCTTGACGGTCACCAGGATTCACCTTTGGCTTTTGTTTCAGTCCAGAAGAGTTAGTGTCACGCGTGAGGCAAACACATGCTGCGACTTGTTTGAGGGACCACTGAGATTTCAAGTTGAGGAAAAGCCTTCTGGTACATGAGGTCGATTGTACAATGAATATGAATATTGAACATTCCTGCCAGCAGTCTGCAGACTTCTGATTTCAGGCCCCTGCAAACTGTTATTTCCTGGGCTTGTTTTTAAAAGCAGAGCCCAAACTTATTTCTGAGAAAGGACAGAATTAAAATTCAGCAGATAGTTGTTCATGCTGTATAAATAAATTCCTCTTCAGAGAGTGAAGGAATCCTCTTTCTCAGGGACCACAGGACCGCTTATAATGACTGTTTTCCTCACATCAAGAGCTCAGTCTTTGTGGCACCTTGACTTTTTTTGGAGGGGGCAACCAGTAACTGTTGTGTAAATGTATGTCATATACATTAATTTTTACCATGAAATCTGAATGCTTGGGGATATACAAGTAAATGTTTCTTGACATATGATTTCCCTAAAGTGAATGTAAAAATGCCCTGATCTTGAATTGAAAAACAGAACATGTGGTTAAACTAGCAAAGACAGAAAACTCTATAGTAAATATTGTCATTCAATGATCAGCTAAACTAAAGCTGATTATTGAAGGTTTCTCATTATTTTGTGCTTACTTCCTATCTCTCCCCATTTCTTGTAGTTTTAGAATTCCAGATTCTCTTATGTGTTATCATGTTGGGGGTCTACTTTGATCAAGAATAGCATTTTTTAACATACTATTCCTCTGAACAATATAGGCAGCCCCTATTTTGTATTGATCTATTACTCTGACACTACTTTAAACAGACAAATAAGCAAACATTCTGATTCCTTTAGGGGCCTTTTATCAGATTTTGGTGGGACTCTTTCAACAAATAGCTGATGTAACTCAGTTAGTTTGGACCCTGCTAAACTTGTGGAAATATCTCTGAGGCTAGCAGGCTTCTGGCCACCAGGTACTTTTAGAAACTAAGTTGTAACACTCAGTGACAGTGTTTATTCCCATGGAAATAATGTAATAATTAAAGATTGAATTCCTTGGACAGGGATATTTGGCCGGATACTTAATGATATCATTAAAGAAAAAACACCAACAGCACAAGTTTCTAAACCAATAAAAAAAATAGTAAAACTGTTTTCTAGCTTCTTTAAAATGGGCTTACTATATTGTTACTTTGATTTTAGCAGGGACCCTAACGATTGACAAAATGTACTCATAGTACATGAAAATACAACTCCACTGTGGTGTAAATTTGCTCTAAAACTAATATGCTGGTGATAATAAACATTACGCATTTAACTAACAACAATTTTGCTTCGTTTGCAGAATTTAGAAAAGCTTTTTGGTAGCATTTTGGAAGGCTCAGATTTCTTTAAGACATCTGTCTAGGGAAATTTGAACTAATTTCTCTTCTATTTCCCTCTTGTAAAAATTCCCATTAGCAAGCAAATGCATTCAAAACCATTCCATTGATCTTATAACTGTGTTTTATAACAATAGCCATGAGCTTTTCCTTTCTATCCTGTGGGCTGAAAGCACTGCAGTGGGGTGTCTGAATGGCACACAGGAACCAGGGGAACTGGGAAGTGAGGGGCAGCCAGCTTTGAGAGGGACCCCGGTCTGTCTTTCTAGCACAGCAAATGTCAGGGGAAAGGGATTTGGCTTCACCCTTTTTGTTTTCTGACCCTGTTTCCAGGAAGACTTTGTAAAAGTTGAAGACTGCCAGGAACTTATTTAAAACTATAATGGAAGTTTTAAAATGATCATAAAATGCCAGTTTCATGACAGCTTCATGACAAAATCACAGTTTGGCCTTCTTCTCCAAAAACCAAAGACTTCCTATGAAGCAAATCACCCACCCCAAATTCAGTCACATCCCATCTTTACATTTCTCCCAGTACCTTCTGGTCCTATCAGTTCAATGTCATGCTGAGGATATAAAGGCCCAGGGACAAATGTGGCAGGGGATGGGTTCAATTTATCTGATGCAACCCTGCTGAAATTATCTTTTTCAACAGACATTTTATCAAGTCATAGGAGAGTTTAACTTTCTCTCTTTTCTAATTAGTTCTATGAACTTATCTATTTTCCTCATATTTTCTAACCCAGGCCTAGAGAGAAATTTGACCTTTATAATGACTACAATATATCAAGTACTTATGATATGCCAGGTAAAATGCTAAATATTGCATGTATTATTATAATTATTTGAGACAGGGTCTCACTCCTGTCTCCCAGACTGGAGTGTAGTGGTGCCATCTTGGCTCATAGCAGCCTCAAATTTCAAAGTTCAGGTGATCCTCCCACCTCAGCCCCCCGAGTAGCTGGGACTACAGGCAAGTGCCACCATGCCTGGCTGGTGTGTGTGTGTGTGTGTGTGTGTGTGTGTGTGTGTGTGTGTGTGTGTATTTTTGGTAGAGATGGGGTTTCACCATGTTGCTAGGGTGGTCAAACTCCTGGGCTCAAGCGATCCACTCACCTCAGCCTCCCAAAGTGCTGGGATTACAGGCGTGAGCCACTGTGCCTGGTCTGTGATACTTATTATTGCATTGAATCCCCAAGTAAGTTAGAGATTCTTAGTCTCTACAGTTAAGGAAACCAAGTCTCAGCAGGATCATACAGCAAGATTTCCCCTGATTGCATGGCTAGTAAGTGTTGAGGCTGAGATTCTAACTGAGGTCTATCTCATGGAAAACCCATGCTCACAGCCACTGTGCTGTGTGCTCCTCCTGTTTGGATGTGGTCCTTGTCTGGGTACCTCAGTGTTCGCATGAGGCATCTCTGGCTTCTGAGATGTAGACAGAAACATCTAGATATTAGGTTGATGCAAAAGTAATTTCAGTTTTTGCCATTAAAAGTATGTTTAAGAATTAACATCCCAAATGAAAGGTACTTGAAGTTTAAGCCACTCTGAATACTAATAAGATACATAGTGTAATAGTAACGTATGCCTGAGACCCAGCCTAATATTCTTCTTTGAATTCACACTTAACACTCACTCACACAACCAATTTTATTGAAGCTCTCTTTGTGCAAGAAAGTCCACTTTGAAACTAGAGTTCTCCAGAGAAACAAAAGCCTCCTTAGAAACAATGTTGGAGTCTGGATTGCTGTGGAGGAAGCTTAAAAAGCTTGAGTCCCTTCCACTTCTATTCTTGAATGGGTTTTGGCCCCTAGCTGGTTCAGAAATTCTTTATCCTCATTTAGATTCTCTAAGGGAGTGGTTCATTCCAGCCCAGCACAGCCTCATTCTGCCCATAGCAGGTTTCCACCCTGGCTCTGCTCCCCTGCAGGGTGAGCACCAGGAGGGGACAGCTGCTGGGCCCACTTTGCATAGGGGCATGTATGACCCAGGCAGGGCAGACTCCCTGCGGAAAAACCTCAGGGCTGCTTTCTGGCTTTAGTCATATTCGTTAGATGAAACTTGTGGGTGTTACTAAGACATTCTGTGCCCTGAAATTGGGAGTGGTTTTGAAAACTGGTCTCAACTATTAGATTCCAAACAACTAAGCTTCCACATTCAATGACAGTTATATGCAGCAAAGAAGTCTTTCTCATTGCCTGTTTTTCCATCCTTCTGTGTGCAAACACTATGTATCTTATTAGTATTTAGAGTGGCTTAAACTTCTAGTACCTTTCATTAGGGATGTTAATTCTTAAATACACTTTTAATGGCAAAAACCGCAATTACTTTTGCACCAACCTAAAACCTAGATGTTTCTGTCTACATAGTCAGATAGTGAGTGGAGGCAGTGCAAGAGATGTCAGTTTTGCAGCTTGCTTTTCTTCAGTTCCTCGCATCAGATTCTGTTCTCTGTTCTGATTCTCTTTTCAGACACCTGTTTCTCCTCGTTTTCTACTTTCTGGTAGTATTACCTCAGAATCTAGAGCTAACCCCCAAGTGCTCCTTGGCTGAAAGCACTTTAATATCTAATGGATGATAACAGGATCTAACATGGAGTTGTGGGGAAATCATGGACACAGGATTTATTTATTTAATAAATATATTTATTGTCACTACATGGAGAGTACACCATACTCACCTCTGGATGAGTGGGGAAACTGCTGATATGAGGTCATTTCCCCACAATGACGCTTTTGTTATCATGTCAGGGTGGCTTTACTTCCACCATTAGTTGCTTCCTTTTTTTTTTTTTTTTTTTTTTTTTTTTGAGATGGAGTCTCACTCTGTTGCTCAGACTGGAGTGCAGTTGCGTGATCTCGGCTCACTGCAACCTCTGCCTCCTGGGTTCAAGTGATTCTCATGCCTCAGCCTCCCAAATAGCTGGGACTAGAGGCATGCACCACCAGGCCCGGCTAATTTTTGTATTTTTAGTAGAGACAGGGTTTCACCATGTTGGTCAGGCTGGCTCGTACTCCTGAACTTAAGGGATCTGCCTACTCTGGCTTCCCAAAGTGCTGGGATTACAGGCGTGAGCCACCATGTTCAGCCTGCTTCCTTTTTTAAAACCAACTTTTTCTTATGCTGGTATTCAAGGAAATGTTAGTAAGCATACAGTAAAAGGTGCTCAAAGTGCACATAAACCTGGGACATGTTGGAGTTAAATGAAACTAAATAGTTTTCTTAGCTGCAGGCTGCCGAGAGCCTGAAATGTGCGAATGTGTGTCATAATTGTTCACAAAGAGCTCCATCATGTTAAGCATTTCCTAATTATTTGACCATAGAACTTCTTTTTTCATGGCAAGTCTACTAATAGCTCCTAGAACAGAGTTCCAATGATCATTATGTGATGAACACTGAAGGTCTTTTTCAAAAGCTTTGAAGGTTCTTGTCAAAAGTACATGCATTATCCAAGAGAGGAAATGCAATTGACCACCACTATCCCAGAATAAGTTGGCTGAAATTAGCTAGCTAATCTCACTTAGCAAGGCCTGGGCAACAGCTTCCTCTGTCTTGAGTTTGAGTCCCTGTCTGTCATTTCTGCATGATCTATGCTAATTTTTGACCCCACTGGTCCTCTTTCTTGCCCTACAATTTATCCTCCCTAACTGACATGGATAGAGTGGGCATCAGAGATAATGTTTTCCAGGCTCCAGCAAGAGCCACCCTTTCAGCCCCCGGTCCCAACAACGAAACACTGTAAGAAGGTTTGTCTATGTCAGGCATTCTCTGGCTTACAAGGAGAAAAGATTTTCCTTCCTAACCTAACTGAACTTAATCCTGAACTTAATCCTGAAATATTCTCATCGCTTTTTCACCTCTGAAAAATGTGACCTTAATCAAACTTGACTGCTAAATATTGGACAGGGTGAGAGCCACAGAGAATCAAAAGGATACATGCTGAAAGGTAGTGTGTATGTGTATTAAACTTTCCTGAGCAATTTCAAAGAGGTAGTAGTTGTGTGAAGGGTAGAATATTTGTACCATGATTTGGATTTTGTAGAAATCTTTTCAGTCAGCAATGAAGGCAAACTGGTCATAGAAGTCCTACCCACCCTTCTATCTCAACCAACTTCGAAGGCATGGAGACAGGTAATTAAGACATCACCTGGGGCTCTACTTGTCAGATCCCCAAATGAACTTTCACAATTAAGTTCTTTAAGATCATTTGGGTATTATGCCTTATGTTTATTTAGCTCTTTAGAGTTTGTCAAATACTTTCACATAACTTATCCAAACTGATTTAAAAAATTATTTGTATTTTACTTTTTAAATTAAATTAATTAATTCATTTTGGCCTGGTAATGTCACAAAAAATTATTTTTAGAACGATTTTAGGTTTACATAAAAATTGGCCTGAAAGTGAAGAGGATTCCTACTTACCTATACTTTCTTCTCCCTGCAGTTTGTTTTACTATTAATATCTGGCATTACTGAGGTATATTTGTTACAATTGATCAATCAGTATGGATACATTATTATTAAATGAAGTCCACAGTTTACATCAGGGCTCATCTTGTGTTGTGCAGTCTGTGGGCCTTGACAGATGTAAAATGTCGTGTATCCACCATTAGAATATCATAGAGAATAGTTTCACTGCCCTAAAAATATGATGTGTTCCACCTTTTCATCCTCGAGTCCCTGGCAATCATTGGTCTATTTCCTGTCTGTATAGTTTGCCTTTTCCAAAATGTCATGTAGTTGGCCAAATTGACTTTAATCTTCATGACAACTCTGTAGCTAGGCAAGTTTTGTTATCTCATCATAGATGAAAGAAGTTCAGTGAGATGAAGTGACTTATCTAAGGACTCACGATCGAGGGTGCCCAAGCCAGGACTAGGACCAGCTAAAAGCATGAACACCAGCCGATCTCAGAAAGGGGTTAATTGCTGAAGACATAGACTATTAGCTTACAGGAGCCCTCTCAGCCCAAGCACTTTAATTTCTTAGTAGCTACAAGGAGGAAGATTGCACATCTTCAAAGGAAACTAGATGCATGATATTGGTGAGATGAGACTTGGAGGTGACTTCACAGATGATGGGTTTAATGCCTCATAATTATGAAGGAAGGCCAGTCTCTGCCAGTCTGACTCAGAGGGCTTAATGAGTCATCCTATTTGTCCTCTCTGCTGCTATTTATGGGCTTCCCAGTTGCTGATATTTGTTGGTTAAATGCTCACACAACCAGTCTTGCCTAAAGCAGTATCATTTATAGGGTGTTGAGAATAAACAGGGTGACAGGAGTGGGATAGTCATTTTAAAGAATATTTAGTAGCTGATTCTTTTTTAAAGCTCTCCTTGCTTAAAATATAAATATTCTGAAAGAAAACAAAAGCCAAGATCCTTTTTGTAGAGAGTTGGAGAATGCTAGGACTTTCTGGGAGTGCTGGCTTTTGCACGGGCATGGGTAAACATTAGTGAAGTTATTGCTGAGAACAGCTCGGGACGGGACGGGAATGAAAAGAGAAGACAGTGTGGAGACAATGAGAGAAAAGGACTGAAATGTAGTCACCTGAGCAACTTAAGATCCGTTTGTCATTAGAAAGAGACTAGAACAGCAACATCACCCTCATAAAGTGTAGTCATCTGGGCTGGGCACTGTGGCTCACGTCTGTAATCCCAGCACTTTGGGGGGCCAAGGTGGGCAGATCATTAGGTCCGGAGTTTGAGACCAGCCTGGCCAACATGGTGAAACCCCATCTCTACTAAAAATACAAAAATTAGCTGGGTGTGGTAGCACTCGCCTATAATCCCAGCTACTTGGGGGGCTGAGGCAGGAGAATTGCTTGAACCCAGGAGTCAGAGGCTGCAGTGAGCTGAGATCACGCCACTGCACTGCAGCCTGGGTGACAGAGCAAGACTGTCTCAAAAAATAAAAATAAAAATAAAAATAGCGTAGTCATCTGAGTCCATGTAGTAGACTAATTGCTTACTCCAAAGGAGTGATTGAAGAAAAATTAATGAAGAGGCTATTTACAAAGGAGCAAACAGGATTAGGGGGGCATTCTGGAGCCAGTAACTGCAGAGAGCCATGACCATCCTCAGGCCTAAGGAGGCAAGGGAAGGGAGCACTGACTGGACCCTAGAGAGACTTGTAGTTTAGCAGAGGCTGTCTGACTTAACTGGGCCCTTTGGTAGAGGAAAGCAGCCACTGCCAATCTACAGGGGGTGAGCTGGAGAATAAATAACACACTCTTTTCTTTCATCCTCTTAATTTCTGCTGATACTTTCCATTGGCCAAACCCTAAAATGAAACAGAGACCAAGGAAACCCATATGATACAATAATCCATGAAGGTCAGCCTCCCAGGCCACGGAGTCAGCAGAGCAGAGGAGGGTGGAGAGGGCTCTGGAGGGCCACACACCAAAAACCTTCAGCTCCAAGGAAGAGGAACACGTTAATGCCCTAGGGATAGACAGTACCAGAAGATTGTGTTGAAATCTGCTTTCTTAAGTCTTTATTCATATTAAAGTCACTATTAATTAATTAAAATATTATAATGACATATATTGAGTGTGCAGCTTCAACTTTATATATCCCTTGGTGCCTGAAAATTCTGAAATGCCTGTTTTGGAAGGGTCCATCTCCCTCAAGTCCCTATGGAAAATCACTCCTAAGAGGCAAGACAAGGGTAGCTGTGTTAAAGTTGAATGTGTGTGGAAAGCTTAGTTAAAAAGCCATTGCATAGTTATAATAATAAAGAGGGGGTCGCAGTTTGCACCTACACATATTAATATTTTCCCACTTTATACTTAGATTTAGCTTAAGTTTATCCATTTATTCATTCAACAAACACATACTATGCTCCTGCTTTGTGATTGTAAAAGTATCTACAAAATCTGTCTCTAATAACCCTCCCTGACTCCTGGCCCCTGGCCCCCAGCCACCACTGGCAGGACTGATGGTAGGTGCTGAGGCAAAGGAAAAGCTTCTCTGAGGCGGTGACATTTGAGCACAGGAGGAAGGAGTCAGCCCTGCAGATCTTGGGGACGGGCTGAGGAAATAGCTTGCTCAAGGATCTGAGCTTTGCGTGAAGGCGGAAGGTGCTAGGGGAGGCAATGATATGGTGGTCCGAGGCCTGTTCATGGAGGGCCTTCCAGGCCACAGTAAGACATTTGGATTTTATTCTGAGGGTGTGTATAGTAAATAGAAGGTTCTGAGAAGGAAAGTGAGATGACAGAATTTATCTTTCTAAAAATAAATTCCAGCTACTATGTGGAGATTGATTCCAGGGAAATGGAAGCAAGGGAACTGATTAGGAGGCGATTTCAGTGGCTGTGACAAGGGATGACGGTGGTCAGTAGAGGTGCTGAAAAGTGGTTGGGCATGGATACACTCTATGTGGATATTCATATTGTCCTTTTAGTTAAAGATGACAATTTTCTAAAGGAAGATTTTCTTTTGTGGATGGGGTTGAGGGAACTCACACCAGTTAAAATGAATTGAATTGCTGTTGTCTAACTTAGCCTGCCTCAAATTCACTCAGGAGACTTATTTAAAAAGGAAGATTTCCCAGAGAGATTTATTTAAGGGAAAGCAGAATTGGCATTCTTCTTTCGACCTAGAGCACCTTGACAAGCTGTTGCCAGGACACGCAAGTGGGATGGTGTCTCTTGTGCAACTGATAAGAGGAAGTGACCCTTGGATTGAAGGAAGTAGAAAGATTAAATCAGAAAGAATCAAGGTTCAGAGTCTGCAAAGCCACAAGCCCTCTGTATGGGCCAGCAAACCCCTGGGCCTGAGAGGCATCAGTAATTGTCACCCGAGTTGGATTGAACTGAAATAAAGAAGTAAAGATCCTATATAATCTATTGAAATCTTTAAAAGGGTTGCAAGATATGCATTACTAATCTATATATTATCTTAAAAACAAACAAGACTTGACTCTGAAGACAGCGCTAGATCTCCCAGCACAATGTTTGAGCTCTGCCAATGGTCAGACTGCCTCCTCAAGTGTGTCCCTGACCCCCATGTCTCCAGACTGGGAGACACTTCCCAGCAGGGGCCAACAGACACCTCATACAGGAAAGCTCTGGCTGGCATCTGGTGGGTGCCCCTCTGGGATGAAGCTTCCAGAGGAAGGAACAGGCAGCAATCTTTGCTGCTCTGTAGCCTCCACTGGTGATACCCAGGCAAACAGGGTCTGGAGTGGAACTCCAGCAAACTCCAGCAGACCTGCAGCAGAGGGGCCTGACTGTTAGAAGGAAAACTAACAAACAGGAAGGAATAGTATCAACATCAACAAAAAGGATGTCCACTCAGAAACCCCATCTGAAGGTCACCAATGTCAAACACCAAAGGGAGATAAATCCATGAAGATGGGGTGAAACCAGCGTGAAAAGTCTGAAAATTCCAAAAACCAGAATGCCTCTTCTCCTCCAAAGGATCACAACTCCTCACCAGCAAGGGAACAAAACTGTACAGAGAATGAGTTTGACAAATTGACAGAAGTAGGCTTCAGAAGGTGGGTAATAAACTCCTCTGAGCTAAAGGGGCATGTTCTAACCCAAGGCAAGGAAGCTAAGAACCTTGAAAAAATGTTAGATGAATTGCTAACTAGAATAACCACTTTAGAGAAGAACATAAATGACCTGATGGAGCTGAAAAACCCAGCACGAGAACTTTGTGAAGCATATACAAGTATCAATAGCTAAATCAACCAAGCAGAAAAAAAGGATATCAGAGATTGAAGATCAAATTAATGAAATAAAGTGTGAAGACAAGATTAGAGAAAAAGAATGAAAAGGAATGAATGAAGCCTCCAAGAAATATGGGACTATGTGAAAGACAAAACCTGTGTTTGATTGGTGTATCTGAAAGTGATGGGGAGAATGGAACCAAGTTGGAAGACACTCTGCAGGGTATGATCCAGGAGAACTTCCCTAGCCTAGCAAGGCAGGCCAACATTCAAATTCAGGAAATACAGAGAACACCACAAAGATATTCATTGAGAAGAGCAACCCCGAGACACATAATCATCAGGTTCACCAAGGTTGAAATGAAGGAAAAAATGTTAAGGGCAGCCAGAGAGAAAGGTCAAGTTACCCACAAAGGGAAGCCCATCAGACTAACAGCAGATCTCCCTGCAGAAACCCTACAAGCCAGAAGAGAATGGGGGCCAATATTCAACATTCTTAAAGAAAAGAATTTTGAACTCAGAATTTCATATCCAGCTAAACTAAGCTTCATAAGTGAAGGAGAAATAAAATCCTTTACAGACAAGCAAATGCTGAGAGGTTTTGTCACCACCAGGCCTGCCTTACAAGAGCACCTGAAGGAAGCACTAAACATGGAAAGGAACAACCAGTACCAACCATTGCAAAAACATGCCAAATTATAAAGACCATCAACGCTATGAAGAAACTGCATCAACTAACGGGCAAAATAACCAGCTAGCATCAATGACAGGATCAAATTCACACATAACAATATTAACCTTAAATGTAAATGGGCTAAATGCCCCAATTGAAAGACACAGAGTGGCAAATGGGATAGAGTCAAGACCCACTGGTGTGCTGTATTCAGGAGACCCACCTCATTTGCAAAGATACACATAGGCTCAAAATAAAGGGATGGAAGAATATTCACCAAGCAAATGGAAAGCAAAAAAAGCAGAGGTTGCCATCCTAGTCTCTGATAAAACAGACTTTAAACCAGTAAAGATAAAAAGAGACACAGAAGGGCATTACCTAATGGTAAAGAGATCAATGCAACAAGAAGAGCTGCCTATCCTAAATATATATGCACCCAAAACAGGAGCACACAGACTCATAAAGCAAGTTCTTGGAGACCTACAAAGAGACTTAGACTCCCACACAATAATAGTGGGAGACTTTAACACCACACTGTCAACATTAGACAGATCAATGAGACAGAAAATTAACAAGGATATTCAGGACTTGAACTCAGCTCTGGACCAAGCAGACCTAATAGACATCTACAGAACTCTCCACCCCAAATTGATAGAATATACATTCTTCTCAGCACCTCATCACACTTATTCTAAAATTGACCACGTAATTGGAAGCAAAACACTTCTCAGCAAATGGAAAAGAATGGAAATCATAACAAACAGTCTCTCAGACCACAGTGCAATCAAATTAAAACTCAGGATTAAGAAACTCACTCAAAACCACACAACTACATGGAAACTGAACAACCTGCTGCTGAATGACTACTGGGTAAATAACAAAATGGAGGCAGAAATAAATAAGTTCTTTGAAACCAATGAGAACAAAGACACAATGTACCAGAATCTCTGGGACACAGCTGAAACCGTGTTTAGAGGGAAATTTATAGCACTAAATGCCCGCAAGAGAAAGGAAGAAAGATCTAAAATTGACACCTTAACATCACAATGGAGAGAACTAGCAGAACTGAAGGAGATAGAGACACAAAAAACCCTTCAAAAAATCAGCGAATCCAGGAGCTGGTTTTTTGAAAAGATAAACAAAATTGATGGACCGCTAGCCAGACTAATAAAGAAGAAAAGAGAGAAGAATCAAATAGATGCAATAAAAAATGATAAAGGGGATATCACCACTGATCCCACAGAAATACAAACTACCATCAGAGAATACTCTAAACACCTCTATGCAAAGAAACTAGAAAATCTAGAAGAAATGGATAAATTCCCGGATACATACACCCTCCCAAGTCTAAACCAGGAAGAAGTCAAATCCCTGAATAGACCAATAACAAGTTCTGAAATTGAGGCAGTTATTAATCATCTACCAACCAAAAAAAGTCCAGGACCAGACGGATTCACAGCTGAATTCTACCAGAGGTAAAAGGAGGAGCTGGTACCATTCCTTCTGAAACTATTCCAAACAATAGAAAAAGAGGGAATCCTCCTTAACTCATTTTATGAGGCCAGCATCATCCTGATACCAACACCTGACAGAGACAAAACAACAGCAAAAAAATTTCAAACCAATATCCTTGATGAACATTGATATAAAAATCCTCAATAAAATACTGCTAAACCAAATCCAGCAGCACGTCAAAAAGCTTATCCACCACGATCAAGTTGGCTTCATCCCTGGGATGCAAGGCTAGTTCAACATATGCAAATTAATAAACATAATCCATCACATAAACAGAACCAATGAGAAAAACCACATGATTATCTCAATAGATGTAGAAAAGTCCTTCGATAAAATTCACCACCCCTTAAAAATTTCTTTAAACTAGGTATTGATGGAACGTATCTCAAAATAATAAGAGCTATTTATGACAAACTCATAGCCAATATCATACTGAATGGGCAAAAACTGGAAACATTCCCTTTGAAAACTGGCACACGACAAGGATACCCTCTCTCACCACTCCTATTCAACATAGTATTGGAAGTTCTGGCCAGGGCAATCAGGCAAGAGAAAGAAATAAACGTATTCAAATAGGAAGAAAGGAAGTCAAATTGTCTCTGTTTGCAGATGACATGATTGTATATTTAGAAAACCCCATCATCTCAGCCCAAAATCTCCTTATGCAACTTCAGCAAAGTCTCAGGATACAAAATCAATGTGCAAAAATCACAAGCTTTCCTATACACCAATAATAGACAAACAGAGAGCCAAATCATTAGTAAACTCCCATTCACAACTGCCACAAAGAGAATAAAATACCTAGGAATCCAACTCACAAGGGATGTGAAGGACTTCTTCAAGTAGAACTACAAATCACTGCTCAAGGAAATAAGAGGGGACACAAACAAATGGAAAAACATTCCATGCTCATGGATAGGAAGAATCAATATCATGAAAATGGCCATACTGCCCAAAGTAATTTATAGATTCAATGCTATCTCCATCAAGCTACCATTGACTTTCTTCACAGAATTGGAAAAAAATTACTTTAAATTTCATATGGAACCAATAAAGAGCCTGCATAGCCAAGACAATCCTAAGCAAAAAGAACAAAGCTGGAGGCATCATGCTACCTGACTTCAAACTATACTACAAGGCTACGGTAACCAAAACAGCATGATACTGGTACCAAAACAGAGATGTAGACCAATGGAACAGAACAGAGGCCTCAGAAATAACACCACACATCTACAACTATCGGATCTTTGACAAACCTGACAGAAACAAGAAATGGGGAAAGGATTCCCTATTTAATAAATGGTATTGGGAAAACTGGCCAGCCATATGCAGAAAACTGAAACTGGACCCCTTCCTTACATCTTATACAAAAATTAACTCAAGATGGATTAAAGACTTAAACGTAAGACCTAAAACCATAAAAACCCTGGAAGAAAACCTAGGCAATACCATTCAGGACATAGGCATGGGCAAGGACTTCATGACTAAACACCAAAGCAATGGCAACAAAAGCCAAAATTGACAAATGGGATCTAATTAAACTAAAGAGCTCCTGCACAGCCAAAGAAACTATCATCAGACTGATCAGGCAACCTACAGAGTGGGAGAAAACTTTTGTAATCTATCCATGTGACAAAGGGCTAAGATCCAGAATCTACAAAGAACTTAAACAAATTTACATGAAAAAAAAAACCCCATCAAAAAGTGGTCCAAGGATATGAACAGACACTTCTCAAAAGAAGACATTTATGCAGCCAACAAACATATAAAAAAAAACTCATCATCACTCGTCATTAGAGAAATATAAATCAAAACCACAATGAGATACCATCTCATGCCAGTTAGAATGGAAATTATTAAAAAGTCGGGAAACAACAGATGCTGGAGAGATTGTGGAGAAATAGGAGCGTTTTTACACTGCTGGTGGGAGTGTAAATTAGTTCAATCATTGTGGAAGACAGTGTGGTGATTCCTCAAGGATGTAGAACCAGAAATACTCATTTGACCCAGCAATCCAATTCTGGGTATATACCCAAAGGATTATAAATCATTCTACTATAAAGACACATGCACACATATGTTAATTACAGCACTGTTCACAATAGCAAAGACTTGGAACCAACCCAAATGCCCATCAGTGATAGACTGGATAAAGAAAGTGTGGCACATATACACCATGGAATACCATACAGCTATAAAAAAGGATGAGTTCATGTCCTTTGCAGGGACATGGATGAGGCTGGCAACCATCATTCTCAGCAAACTAACACAAGAACAGAAAATCAAACACCACATGTTCTCACTCATAAGTGGGAGTTGAACAATGAGAACACATGGACATAGGGAGGGGAACATCACACACTGGGGCCTGTTGTGGGGTGGGTGGCTAGGGGAGGGATAGCATTAGGAGAAATACCTAATGTAGATGATGGGTTGATGGGTGCAGCAAACCACCAAGGCATGTGTATGCCTATGTAACAAGCCTGCATGTTCTGCACATGTACCCCAGAACTTAAAGTATAATAATAAAAAAGGGCTTCCTCAGAAGATCCTGATTCTCCAAGACCTAGACATCTGCATTTTTGAACTCAGACTGAGAATTACCATTTAAGTATTTAGCACCACCCCCTAGTGGTGGTTACTTGAAATTGCAGATGTAACAAATTTAAAATATAGTTCTTTCAATTCTTCCTGTGTATTTGTTGCACGCAAAGTAACAATCTTTCGCATCTATTTTAGAGCTAGTTAAATATAGCTAGTTTTAGAGGAATAGCCACATAGGGGTAAAAACTCCTTATTCTCCAGTGATTATCTGGAAAGAACTCTCAAGTATTAAGATAAAAAAATAGAAAGTTCATAAGTAGCAATTAATTAGCTACTACTTATTGTCAGAGAGCAGTTAAAGCTTCCAACTCATAGCCAGGCTGATTATTAAAGAGCTATACGATTAGAGTAATTGAAACTGTGCAGGTGAAATGGAAAGTTAGTGGCCTCCAAAAGTCATGAAAAACCAACACTGAACTTACACTAACTATGGAAGAATAGCAGTACGATCCCAAGGGATGTGTATTTCTTTGAACCATTGTTTTAACTGGCTAGAGGAAGTTTGTGTTTAGAATTTTATTAGCTTATCATTTTGGGTTGGAAATTTTTGTTCTATAGCCGCAATGCAGACCAGCCTGCAATGCCACCACCGTTTCTATCCTTGCTTGTCTGCTTTGGTAGCTTTTTCCCTTGGATTTTCCAGAGGGTAGAACAGAGGGCAGCCCGGTGTTAGGGTCCTGATAATGGGAGGGAAAATGTTCCAAATATTCTAAATGGGGCAACTGCTTCTACACTTGGGTCAGCTGGAAAACTCTTCCAGCTTCATAGTGTATTTGTTAGCTTGCTTGCTTTCTGTTTGTCATTCTCAGATTCTCCACAAATATTCATCCTGCGTTTCTAACCCCCATGTTTTCTCTCGCTCAACACAGGCTCATATTTGAACCAGAAGGTCATCTAGTACAAATTTCTCACATGCTTGATGAGGAGCCTGAGGTGTGAGTAGGGTGGCGGCTCTCAGGTTACAGAAAGGGGTGTCTGTCCAGTGGAGCTGTGTCCCAGCACTGCTCATGGTGGCCCAGTAATACTTGCAAGCCAGTGTTCTTTCTGTGACCATCCAACTCCCAACTTCTGCTTTTCATTTCCTTCCTCTATCCCTATAAACATCCCCTACACCCAGAAACGCGCCCCGCTATGCGCGCGCACACACACACACACACACACTCTCACACTCTCTTTCTCTCTCTCTCTCTCTCTCAGTTTTCTTCTTTCTGCAAATCCCCTTCCCTTCCCGCCTTGGCAAGCTGCCCAAAGTATGGAAAATTAGGCAAGTTGAACCTTTAAAAAATCCTTTATTTTAGAATAAACCCAAAGGAAACCTCAGCTGTCCAACTTTCACTAACTAAATTATGCAATGTTTCCTTCTGTTCCTTCATCTTGATTTATTTTTGTGGGTTAAGCCTTTGGCGGGAGGGAAAAAAGGTTTATTTGTTACACTCCAGAGGAGAAAGAACTTGAAGGAGGAAATAGAAAACAAAAGGAAAGGTGAGCCGAAGGATTAAATAATGAATCAAGGGAACACGAAATACAAATCTGGACATGCCCACATGTACTTTTCCATTTAGAAACAGACCCAAGAAACAAGTGGTGCGTTTACCCATTTTTTCGAGACTAAAGCCCTTGCTTAGTAGCCCCCAAAGTTAGCGTTAGCCTGCCCTCTAGTGGTGCCTGAAAACGTGTGCTAGACTGTGGTGCCCAATGCAGAGCTTTGCTTGTCCCAGAGATAGACGCTTGAAAACCTCAAGATTAGAAGGAACGCTTCAGCAGCTTTCCAGTAAATACAGTAGGTGGAGACACACACTGGAAAACTGCAACCTAGGCAACATTGCTTTCGTTTGACTCTTAGAAGATTGCTAGGCACCCAGAGTTATTGAAACTCGGGTTGACCATAATTTGTCATGCTTAATATTTCCTGCTTTTAAAAAATTGTTAAAAATGTTAATATATGGAGATTTTAAGCACATACAGTTTATAAATCCGTTGGCGCTTCATGCCATTAATTATCTTAAATACCCACCAAAAGCAGAAATTTGGGTGATGGTATGGAGGTGCAAAGGTTAATAAGACACAGACCCCGTCCTTAAAACTTACTCTTTGTTTGGAAGAGAAGATCTATTTGAATGTAATTACAATACATGGCAGTGGTATAACAAAGAGACAGTTTAAATATATATATATATGTTTAAATATATATATATGTATACACACACACACATACACACACACACAAAACTGTGCTAGGTATGCCCACATCTTACTTAATATTTACCACAACTATGTCTTTTTACATAAGAAGAAAGGGAGGTTCAGAAAGATTAAGTAACTTATCTTAGTTCAGATAGCAAAGAAATAGCAAAATTAGAATTCAGGTATTTTGATTTTACTTTCATTTCAATTAACTTCAACAGAGCTTTATTGAGAATCTACCATGTACCAGGCAGTATGTTACATGCTGAACATGCAAATATAGGAAATACCACTGGCCTCACGGTTCTAGTCTTGTAGGGGACTGGGCTATGCGGAAACAAGCTGTATTGTGATATATGCAATAATGCAAGTTTGTACATATTACCTTCTGAGCAAAGCAGCAAAGACTGTTCTTTTTCCATAAGTTGTTGACTTTCTGTCATGTGACCCTGGTAAGTAACCATGATCGAACTGATCAAGAATCTGTAACTTGGCCAAAGGTAACCACAAAGTTGTGCAAAACTACAGGATACATAGAGTAAATATTTTGGGGGTTTCATTATTACAGATGACGTTGAGGAGAGAAAAGTTTTACATTTTTACAATCTTAGGTTTACCAATGGGCTCTGGGAGGTCTAATAGCAGAATTCTGCCCAATAATGGAGGCAACTCACTGACCCAACCAGTGAGAGCACAGGTAGTTTCCACTGTGAGAAACTCAACTACAGAACCAGAGTAGAATTAGAAAGAAACAAAAGTGGAGGTAACAGCTGAACTAGTGAGAAGCGGAAGCACAGAGAGGTGAAGGAGAGAAGTGAAACTGTGAGTATGGCACCGTCGGGAGTCAGGGGCCAAAGGTCCCTCTTCTCAAGGGGGCATTACCATTACTGACTCAAAGGGGAGCCCTTTCTGACATCCCAGGGCTCTGGGAGGCTGGACTACAACCTGCCTAGTGTCATACCTGTGCTTCCTTATTGCCTTAAGTATCTTTCCAATCACCCACATCACCAGAGGTCACCCGAGACTACTTGATCTTTGCAACAGAAAGTGTAACTCCTGCAGCACCAAAGTGGTGCGGAGGAGAGTGAGGAAGTGTGGTTGGAAGGGTGGATGCAGCAGGGGCTTTACCAGGAGGCAATGCCAAAGCAGAGTTCTGAGCTACAATGAGGGGTTTGCAAGGAAGACAGAGGGGTTTGCAAGGAAGGAGCTGCAACGAGGAGTTTGCAAAGAAGACAGAGGAAGGTACCTCAATAATTCTGTGTTTATTCCAGTACTGGACATAACCCATGGCAAACCTTAATTTCCAGGATCTCCTTTGTGTAATGACACCAGAAATCCTTTCTTCAGGAACCCTGGCTTTGAGAGAGTGACATAAGAAAGGAGAATTTTCTCTTTTATGGAGGCTGTAAGTCCTGAAGCTTGATGTGCTGACCCTATTGTGTGGCCTTAACTATTGGCATATTCTTCTCAAGTGGGATATGGGGATGCAGCACTGGGGCCAGGGGATTGTGCAAAACTAAGGATACACACAGAAAAATCTTTATGGGGTGTCATCATTACAGGTGATGTGAAGAGAGAAAAGTTTTAACTTTTTACAATCTTGAAAGGTGTTGTCCTGTATGATCAGTATAAACCTACTTTTTTGTGTTGGGTTAATTTTTTTCCCACTCATTTGCATAAAATCCAGGGTTCTCTATGATCCCAGCATAAAATCACATTTAAAGAAACACACTCTTTTCTTTATCCATTCATCTTTTAATGAGCATTTGGGTTGGTTTCAGCTCTTGGCTATTGTGAATAGTGCTGCTATGAACACCCATGTACAAATATCTCTTCAAGATACTGCTTTCAATTCTTTTTTGGATATATGCCCAGAAGTGGGATTGCTGGATGTATTAGTCCATTCTCACATTCCTATAAAGAACTACTTGAGACTGGGTAATTTATGAAGAAAGTGGTTTAATTGACTCACAGTTTCTGCAGGCTGTACAGGAAACATGACTGGGAGGCCTCAGGAAACTTACAATCACAGCAGAAGGTGAAGGGGAAGCAGGCATATCTTCACATGGTGGCAGGAGAGAGAGACAGAGTGAAGGAGGACGTGCTACACACTTTTAAAAACCAGATCTCATGAGAACTCTGTCATGAGACAGTACTAGAGGGATGATGCAAAACCATTAGAAACCACCCCCGTGATCAAATCACCTCCTGCCAGGCCCCACCTTCAACACGTGGGGATTACAATTCCACATAAGATTTGGGTGGGGACACAGAGCCAAACCATATCACTAGATTATATGGTAATCCTAGCTTTAATTTTTTGAGGAACCTCCATATTGTTTTCCATAATGGCAGGATCATTTTGCATTCCACCAACAGTGCGCAAGCGCTCTAATTTCTCCACATTGGTGCTAACCCTTGCTATTTTCTGTTTTCTTTTTAAATAGTGGCCATCATAATGGGTGTGAGGTGACATGTAGATTGATTTTAAAGTACAAACCCCCTTTGAAATGGTTAGGGGATCTCTGAACTTTCATGCCTTCTGGTAAACTTTGATTTTATCAACCAGCTGAAATCATTCACTGAAGTATATGTTATTTTGATCTAGGCAAGTTGTTAGGATCCTGGAAAGAGATCTTAGATTTCTTTAAACTTGGTAAATGTAAAACTGGAAGCCCCAAGAGTGGGGGCTACCTGAGAAGTCCCACATCAGGTACTTCTCTCTCAGTTGTTTTGACCCTGAGGACATTTTTTATTGAATGAAAACAAACATTTTCATCAGAATTATTCCAACATTTCTGGAAATATTATCAAGAAATTATTTTCTAGAAGCAGATGTCTTGAATTAATGTAATTCTTTGATCAAATTTCTTCCTGTGCCATTAAATAATTTTCAGTATTTTTATTTTACTGAAATAATTTAGACTTTATTCAGTGATCCCATTTTATGTCCTTATTAAATCTTTCCAACTTTTCCAATCAGCAATTTTGAGGTTTCTTTTGTAGTCATTTTCTACCAAACCTAATTTTCCTGGGCTAGATTTTGCAGGTATAATTTTTGACAAGAAGATTTGATTCTTTTGTCAATTTTTAAAGTCAATTACAAATTTTTCTGTGTAAAGCTTTCACCTTTGTCAGTTTTATTTTGTGTTATTTCTATAAAGTGCAATTTTAAAAGAGTTCACTTTTGTAGTTTTGTGGCTTACCAACACAATGAGATTCTTCAGTCAGTTTTTTGTCAATATCAAAGTTAACATATATCATTTTAGTTATTATCAGTTTGATCCTGTGTAGATTCTTTTCACTACATCAATTTTTTTTCTAGTGACCCGTTGAAAATATACTTGATATAAAAATATCAAGGTCATAACATCATGTTTTCATCCAAAGCTACTCTGTTTAAATATATTTAAAAAGTAGAATCGACCTGTCTTTTTAGAAGCATGGGTTTCACAGGTAAATCCTTAATCTAGAAGTGAGAAGTTTTGGGTGTTTGTCTTTGTTCTGCGCTCATCACCCCTGTGTCTACAGTCTGATAGTCCTCATCTAAAAATGAAGTGATTGAAGTGTGTGATTTCTAAATCCCCTTGCAACTCTGACTTAAATTTCTATCTGTAAGAATCTATTCCTATCTGCAGATTGAGCTAACTGATCATTGCTTTGCTTCATATTTGATTCACTCCTCTCCCCTGTCAATCAGTGCCTCCTGACAACCAGCCTGTCTGTCTGCACTTGCTCAGACCTGGGTAGGAGCCTCTGATGTTCTCTACACAGATTTGCATGTTGTTCTTAGAGTCTTGGCTTCTGATCTGCTCCAGAGTGCCACTGCTCTCAGGCTTTCTGAGCTCAACCCATATCCTTTCTGATTGAGCACCAACCAGCTGGGCTCAGAGCAGCCTGCCTCCACCCTGCCTTCATCTGCCTGGAAGCTATGAGGTTATCAGGGACCATGCTGAGCCTTGTCTTTCCCTATCCCCACTCCTCAGCCTAACTCCTATCACCTCTCTTTGTGGGTTAGGCATGAAGGGACAATCTTGGGGTTATGTGGATATAGTTTAGGGTAGACCAATCTTAAAGGCAGCAGAATTAGGACAGAGCCCAAGGCCATTGTAGGCAGGAAGGGGAGATAGGATAGACCACATCATTTAAGGAATCATTTCAGGATCCCAGGAGGAATGTGTTGGGCCATTTTCATTAGAACAATTGGAGGGAGGTTTAGTGAAGGGACTGTTTACAAAGGATGAGCAGTGTTTATGGAGTCCATAAAGGACAGTGTAGCACCACTGAGTTCACTTACAACTCCTCACCAGAAATGATATGAGGAGGGATCAGTTACTGGAACCTGGGTGGAGAGAATCACATAGAGATGACTTCAAGACAATACTTCAGGGATCAAGCCAGAGGCATAAATATCCCAGCCTCCACTCCTTCTCCCTCCCTCTTATCTCCTATTAATGACCTCTAATTGGCAGAACCCAACTCGAGGTCAAAAGGCAAGGGAGTCCATTGATGAAACTCATACAGTTCAGTGTCCCCAGCAAGAGAGTAGGTTGAGAAGTGTGGAGAGTGACCTCAGCAGTGAGGAGGAGAAGATAACAGGCACAGGCTGCTCCTCTAGCTTGTTCATGTACATCCCAGTAAAATCAAGTGGAGAAGATCATCCAGAGAAGACTGGGAGGAAAAGGGTTAGCATGCTTGCATCACCTTGGGTGAGGAATGAGTTAAATGCAATGACCTTTGTAAATTTCAGCTGATGTCATTGTATAAGTCATGTATTTCCCTGGCAGCTGCTGTCTAAGACATGGTCTTCATCTTGAATTGGTTCTGGGTCAACAGAAGCCTAGGCTGGTTGATTAGCTCATTTCACTCTTCCCTGAGAGGCCTCTGAGGAGCTGGCCACACTGGGAGCTTTAGAAGTGTAGGATCAATGCCTTTGGATATCTGGGTGGGGTAGAGGGAGTTTTAAGTATAGAGAAAGGGGGAGGGGAGAGAGTGTTGAAAGGGTGCTGATGGCACATCTGGACAAGGGGCAGACCTGGGCCTACTTAAGATGGCATTGCATTGGGCTCAGGGTTTATAGAGCATAAAATATGCTTTACATGGAATGATGCCACCTCCACTGCCTGAGATGCACTGTATAGACTGAGATGCTGCTGGAACTGTGGTGGGGGTGGGCAAGAGGGGTGGGTGGGGAGGCAGTGGGCATAATTTCCCTTCAGAGTCCTGTAGCACAGAGTTCTGCCACAGAACACCACTGTTCTGCTTTAAACACCATTGCAAATGGTTAGCATTCACCTTAGCTGAATTTGTAGAGAGGGAGAGGAAAGAGGGAAAAGAGGAGAAAAAGAGAGAATGTGTTTGTCCAGCTCAATGCATATGGATGAGTTGGTTCTGGTGCTCCGATTTAATCAAATGATTCATATTTGTGGATGGGTGGGTGGGATGCCCCTTGGGCAGCAGAAGCAGAGTAGGCTGTGGGCTGAGCAAATACTTAGAAGCATGTCTGTTACAATCATGTTTTGCTTCTGGTCAGTGGCACAATATATATTTAACACATTCTCTTGGGAATATTAAAATCCAATATAATATAAGCCAGTGGCAAGTAGTCTTTCTTTTATTATATCCATTGGGCAACAGGTTGGTCAGCAGAGGGAAGAGAGATCAGAAAGCAGAAAGCTGGATGGAGGAATGACCTCTTCTCACTAACTCCAAAGTGTTGCATCTACCTTGACCAGAATCCATGGCTTCTAAAAGAATTCATTGGAAGAAAGAAACAGGGAGGTGAAAAGAAAGGAGAGAATGGAGACGAGATAAATATAAGCAAGAAAAGTGAGTTTTTCTAGAAATAATTTTATTGTCAAATAATTCTGCAAGGGAACAAAGTCTTCTGAGAAGCATGAAGCATAATCTTTCTCCTTTCTGTTTTTTTCTATTCCCTATTTAAAAAACCTGTTAATTTTATATTAAAAACAAAATACGTTTCTTTTTTTAGTGCTCTATAATTGTATAAGAATGTGTATCACTTCCTTCCCATAATTTTGAGAATATTTCTGAAGACAGTGACATATTCTGACTCTTTAAGAACAAAACAATTCAATTTTAAAATCACTGAGTGACAGCAATCAAAGTTCTGAAGTGATGCAGTTCGCCTCAGCACTCGTTCGAAATGTCATTAGAAAACCAACATATAGCGGGTTGTTATGGCAACTGGAATACCAGAGTTTATAACATCACTGTAATTAATGTTACCCAAACGTTATTAGTCTTTCAACATCACTCACATTCTCTGAAGGAACGGCAGTTCTGGTTCTCTTAGGATTTTTCAATAATGTAATCCATTGCAGCTTTTCTTCACGTTTTATTTTTAAATAGATCTTACTCTGACTTTGCTTTAGTGAAATTAGTTACTGTTTCTCCATCTTTACTTGTTCTATTTTGGCTGCTATTTTTTTTTTATAAAACTTGAAGTAAAATGGAAAAAGGGGATTACAGCTAAAAAACAGAATAAAGTCTAGAGATGGAAAGATTTATATATTTAAGTATGGAGAATCTCAGAAAAATATTAAAATATTTTGCATACAGCTTTGTAGTATTAACTCACATTTGCATAGCACTTTATAATTTAAGAAGCAGTTTTACGTATGTTATTAACATAACATTATTTAACATAACAACCCTAAGAAGACAAGTAATAATTTTTGAGTGCCTACTACGTGACAGGTAATATGATCTGCATACATAAATCTTTTAGTTCTCACCGCAATCTGCAAGATAGATGTTGTGGTTTAAAAATATGTCTCCATGGTTCAACAACAAATCAACAAATTACCTGATTTAAAAACAGGCAAATGACTTGAATAGACATTTTCCCAAAGATGATGTACTGATGGCCAATGAGCATATGAAAAGACACTAAATATCACTAATTATTAGATAAATGCAAATCAAAAACCACAATGAGATATCACCTGAAATCAATTTAGTGGCTACTATGAAGAAACAGAAAATAATAAATAGTGGCAAAGATGAAATGTTAAAATGCCAGATACACCAAATCATGCAAACACAACATCAAAACACAGCTTGGTGGAGATGGAGTGACAGATGGGGAGGGGGAGAGTGTGGAAAGGCTGGAAAACAGTCCCAAACGGACACACGTCTCCATGTGACACTTTTTTTCTTTTTTTAGGCAGGGTCTTGCTCTGTTGCCCAGGCTGGAGTGCAGTGGTGTGATCTCGGCTCACTGCAACATCCACCTCCCGGGTTCAAGCGATTCTCCTGCCTCAGCCTCCCGAGTAGCTGGGACTACAGGCATGTGCCCCCATGCCAGGCTAATTTTTGTATTTTTAGTAGACATGGGGTTTCCCCATGTTGGTCAGTCTGGTCTCGAACTCCTATCCTCAAGTGATCCGCCCGCCTCTGCCTTCCAAAGTGCTGGGATTACAGGCGCCCACCACCACGCCCAGCTAAGTTTTGTATTTTTAGCAGAGACAGGGTTTTACCAGGTTGGCCAGGCTGGTCTCAGACTCCTGACCTCAAGCGATCCACCAGCCTGAGCCTCTCAAAATGCTGGGATTACAGTGTGAGCCAGTGCTCCCGGCTAGAACACATTTCCTTTTAATGGAAACAGTAATTCTCTGTGGCTGCCCAGCCAGCCCACATTCCTCCACCAGGCCACCACGGCCTCTGAGGAAGCTGGACTGTGCAGCACACGCGGAGGTCATTGCTTACTTAGATGGCAGTGAAGCATCCACGCGGGGGAAGCATCACTCCTCCCTAGCCCTGGCAGCATACTCCCCGGTTCCTTTTTCTTGCTGAAATATTTCTCCGAGAGTGTTTTTGGGGTTGACTCTCAAGGGGGCTGATAGGACTGAGGATGGCTTCCTGCGTGCCCATATTTCATAGCGGTGAGCAGGATGCAGCCCTGGGTTCCAGGATCCTTTCCTCTCGCGTCTGAAGCTGTCACTCCCTTTCTTCTTGCATCCGTTGTCTGTGCTGCGATTCTAATGTCAGCACCACTCCCGTTCCTGTGCGGGTTACCTGCTTTTTCTCTTTGGAAGTTTTTAGCAATTTTGACTCAAAATGTAGATGCTTTTCTTTGAAATTACACATAACATTTTAACTTTAAAATGTAATTAACGCTCTGCAGGCCCTTTCAGTTTGAGGATGTGCATCTTTTCTTAATTGGGGAAAGTTCCTAATCATTTTTCAGATACCTCCTCTTATCTATTCATTTTTCCTCTTCTAAGCACTGAATATTTTTCCTCCCTCACCTCTGCCTACTCAACCCCTTCAGATCCTTCTAGAAGAGCTCAGAGCCTGACCTGTCTCACTCGTTCATTTTCTGGTCTCCAACCTTCCCACCAAGTTCATCACTTAAGAGCCCACGTGTTCCAGTCCACTATCCCCGGCTGCGTCTTCTGCATAACTGCCGATTCCAGCCGCGCTCTCCCTGCATCCTGAGGGTATGTGATGGATTTACTGGTCTTATCCACTCATCTGCTCCCTCCTCCAAGGAAAAACCTTGGGGTTTTTCCCTCCCGGAGTTCACTCCCCTCGCTATCTCGTTTCCTCAGGCCGCTGTCTGTTCCCTGGGTACGGTCAGCTGCCTTCGTCTTAGGCCCGAGTTGACACCTTCCTGGTGGGTTTCAGGGAGGCAGGCAGGGGCTCCTCAGGGCAGAGCCTCTGGCAGGATGACTGGGGCCCTCTTTGCTCATCCCCGGTGGCTGCTCTGGTCTGCAGGGAACGCCCCTGTCCTTCTAGCTGGTGCTGTCTGTCCAGGGCTGCCCTGTGTTGTAATTGGCTGTCCTTGGGCTGGGGAGGAAGGCTGCCCAGGGGCCACCAGCCAGCCTGCCCAGGTGTCGTGGCCCTCACTCCAGGAGGCTCCTGAGGTGCTCTGGCCTTGCCTAGATTCCTGGGGCTGGTATGGGTGGGATCTTCTACAGGAAAGCAGGGCTGGCAGATGACAGCTCCAGGTGGGCCCCGGAGCAGAGAGCTGCAGTCTGGCCCGGGTTGTGCTGTGTGGCCTCCTCCACTCAGACTGTGGTTCCCCTCCTGTTCCAGACTCCACCACGTTTGCCCAGCCTCCACAAGACTCTCAGGGGTCCTCTTAGGTTCTGGGCTCCATCAACTGTCATCCCTTTGATGGCATCTCCAAGGTTTGGATTCATGGGAAGGAGCCAGCAGCCTGTATTAATTAATCCCCTCATAAAGGAACCAAAAGCCAAATTTACAAACAAAAATCATAACATTAGATGCTGTCAGGGGCAGAGGAAATGGAGACATGGAAACGCTGCTGGTGGGCGTGTGAACTGTCACACCCTCCCGAGGACCTCCTGGCAACTCGTTCCAAATGCCTGGAGAGTGGACCCCGGCATTCTATGACGAGGTGGCATCTGCCCTCTAAATACAACTAGACACCCTGGAAAAAATTTAACAGACATAAGAGGACTATAGGAAGTGGAGAGGAAGAAAGGCTGTCCAGGAACCTCAGGACCTTGGGGGTGATGCTGTACCAGGCCCTGAGTTTTCTTTTTCTCTCTCATCTCCTGGATGGGCCCAGAGAACCCTGCAACCTGTAACTGCCAAAACCTGCAGGGGGAAAAAAGAAAAGAAAAAGAGCCTATTTTCTCTGGTGAAAGGACTGAGAAGGGCATCTCACTGGAGACCCAGCGAGGAGATTCCTACTGATCCATGTCACAGCAGCTCCGCTCAGGCCTGGCCCTCAGCATCACACCCAGGCCACAACAGGCTCTGCTGACCTTGGCGCAGAGACCACACCCAGAACCCGGCGTTTCCTTAACCTACCCCCGCCGCACAGGGCAACCCCAGCAACATGCGCAGGGATTGAACCAGAGCCCCAGCAGATCCAGAAGAACAAACCAGACCAGAATAGCACTGGGAGGGCTTTGAAAACTAAATTGTCATTGACTCTACATTTCCCCTAAAGCAGGCTGGGGCTGCTTTAGGTACCAATTAAGGGTACCATGGACTGAACTGGAATGTTCAAATAGGATAAAAAGTTTCTTTACATAATAACCGAAATCTCCAGAACATATTTGAAATTATTTGTCATATCAGGAAACATAAAAAGCAACTTGAAACCTGGTGAGGGGGCTCTCACCTGTAATCCCAGCACTTTGGAAGGTCAATCAAGAGGATGGCTTGAGCCCAGGAGTTGAGATCAGTCTGGGCAACACAGCATGACCCCGTCTCTACAAACAATTTAAAAATTAGCCAGCTGTGGTGGCACACACCTGTGGTGGCACACACCTGTGGTGCCAGCTACTTAGGAGGCTGAAGCAGGAGGACCACTTGAGCCCTGCAGTTTGAGGCTGCAGTGAGCCGAGATCGTGTTACTGCACACCAGTCTGAGCATCAAAGTAAGACTCTGTCTCAAAAACATAACAGAGCAAAACAAAAAACAACTTAAATAGGAAAATAAGATTAACCAAGATAAATCAGATGTTAGAACTTTAAAGCAGCCATCATAAAAGTGCTTCAGAAAACAATGGCGAATTTTCTTGAAACAAGAACAAAATGAAAATCATACAACTGAAAAATACAATAACTAAATGAAAAAATGTGCAGTTGGGTTCAATAGCAGAGTGGACACGACAGAGAACAGAGTCTGTTGATTCAAGGACAATTAATAGAGCTGGCCCATAGGAACGATGGAGAGATAGGAGTCTGAGAAATGAACGCCTCCTCGGGGATGGGTGGGACAGTGACAAAAGGCCCAGCGTTCCTGTCACCAGAGTCCCAGGAGGAGAGGAAGGAATGTGTGGTGAAAAAGTATTCAAAGGCACAGTGGTTGAAGATGTCCCAAATTTGGTGAAAGAAATAAACCTGCAGATTCAAGAATCTGAGCAAACCCCAAATAGGATAAACACATCATAACGGAACTTCAGGAAAAGAAAGACGAAGAAAAAAATCTTTTAAACCACCAGAGAAAAACGATGCATTAAGGGACACTGGTTCTGAGGATGGTGGGCTTCTCTAAAACCACAAGGCAGAGGGGGCGACACACCATCACCAGGTGCTGAGAAAAACTGTCCGCCCAGAACCCTATTCAGTGATTGTATCCTTCAGGGATGAGGGGGAAATAAAGATATTCTAAGAGGAAGGACAACTAGGATAATTTGTTACCAGAAAACCTACCCTTAATAAATGGCTGAAGGAAGCGCTCCTAACAAAAAGGAAATAAGGAAATCAGAAATAGCAACAACAGAAGGGGTAATCATATGGTAAGTATAATAGACTATGATGAGTTTCTTAAATTGTATTTTATGGTTGAAGCAAAAAATAATAACATCATCTGCTGCGGTGCTCTACATCTGAACAGGAAATATTTATGATAATTACATGTTTAAGTGGGGGAGGAAAAGGGGAAGTAAATAAAAGTAAGCTTTTGATATTTCTCATGAAGTGGTGAAACATTGATGCCAGCAGGCTGTGATAAGTTACATGTGTATATTATAATCAATCCTAGAGCAGCCACTTAGAAAATGATACAAAGCAATGCACCCAAAAGTATAAATAATTCAAAATGAAATGCTAAAAACTGTTTAAGTAATCCATGACAAGTGAAATGAAACAGGATAAAGGAAAGATAAGAAACATGCAGAAAGCAAATAAAAATGGCACATTTGAATCCTAAATATGATTTCTGTGTGGTAAAGAATTTGGCCTAGCCCAAAGAAGAGGTCTAGCCTTTGTCCTGGCTCCTGGAAAGTAGTCCTGAAGACCATGTGACAGGAGGGTCTTTGCTATTCATGGTGGGCCCCTCAGACTATACCTGAAGTTTATGCTACCAGCTGGCTCATGGTGGGCCCTCCCAGGAATGTGCCGTCAGCCCCAGATTCCAGGAAAGGGAGAGGTGAAGATAGAGTTCCAACCAGTCTCCAACAGATCAGTCAATTATGGCTGCACAATGCAGTTCCAGGAAACACTCTGGACACCAAGGCTTGGGTGAGATTCCTAGGTTGGCAGTGCTTCATGGTATTGTCACACGTGGATGCTGGGAGAGTAATGCACCTGAGGACAACAGAGGCTTCACAGACCCTCCTAGCCCTGCCCTCTGTGCTGGTTCTGATTTGTATCCTTTCCCTGCAGTAAACAGTAACCATGTGTATAGCAGTTTTCAATGAGTTCTGTGAGTTCTTCCAGCAAATGATTGAAACTTAGGGTGCTTTGGAAACCTCTAAAACTTGCTGTTCGTGTCAGGAATGAGGGAAATTTTAGGAACCATGCCCTCAGACTTTGCAGCTTGGTTAAATCTGGGAAAAACACAGAAATAGCAGAGTAAATGCAAAAATATGACCCATTATATGATGTCCATAAGATATTCAGTTCTAATACCATGGCATAGGTATTTAATAGATTCAAAGTGAAAGGACAGAAAAAAAAATTTCATGCAAACAAACAGGAACTTTTAAAAAAGCAGGAGTTGCTATAATAATATCAGATAGAGTTCATGGCAAAAAGAATTTCTAGGACAAAAGAGGAATATTACATAATAACAAAAGAGCAAGAGTATATCTTGATCCTAAATATATGTGCACCAAACAACACAGCTTCAAAACACATGAAGCAAAACCTGATAGAGCTTAAAAAAGAAATAGAAAAATCCATAATTATAGTTGGGATATGTTGACATCTCACTTTCAGAATTTGTAAAATCACTAGACAAAAAAAATCAGCAAGAATATAGGATAAATAAACAATATTATTAGCCAATAGGGTATAATTAACATTTATGGAAAACTCTATCCATCAACAGCAAACTGCGTTATTTTCAAGCTCTTATAGAACAGACTCTAGATCTTAAAACAAACCTTAACAAATTTTTAAAAACTGAAATCATACAAAGAGTGTCCTCTGACCACAATGGAATCAAACTGGAAATAAATTGCAGAAAGACAAGAGAAAAATCTGCAAACACTTGGAAATTAAGCAGTAAACATTTATATACAATGTGGACAAGAAGAAATCTCAAAGGGAATTTTTAAAAAGCAAGTAACACAATGAAAATATGGCATATCAAAATTTGTGGATGTGGCTGGGTGCAATGGCTTACTCCTGTAATCCCAGCACTTTGGGAGGCTGTGGTGGGTGGATCGCTTTTTGAGCCCAGGAGTTCAAGACTAGCCTGGGCAACATGGTGAAATCCCTATCTCTGAAAAAATTTAGCCAGGTGTGGTGGCATGCACCTGTAGTCCCAGTTACTTGGGAGGCTGTGATAGGGAGGATTGCTTGAGCCCAGAAGGTTGAGGCTGCAGCGAGTGGAGATTGTGCTACTGCACTCCAGCTTCAGTGACAGAATGAGACCCTGTCTTAAAAAACAATTGAGGGATTCAGCTATAGCAGAGCTGAGAGAGAAATTTATAGCACTAAATCCTTATATTAGTAATATGGAAAGTTCTCAAACCAGTAGTCAAAGAACTAAAAGAGGAATAGTAAAATAAAGTTAAGGCAAATAGGACGGAAAGCGAAGAGCAGAAATTGATGAAATTAAAACCAGGAAAGCAATGCAGAACATTAAGGAAATAAAAAACAAGTTCTTCAAAAAATTAATAAAACTGATAATCCTCTAGGATGATCAACAAAGATAAAAGGAGATAACACACACATCACCAATATCAGGAATGAAACAAGAAATATCACAAAAGAGGCTGCATCTATGAAAAATGCTATAAAAATTTTATGCTCATACATTTGACAGCCTAGGAAGAAATGAATCAATTCCTTGAAAATCACAAATTACCACAACTCAGGAAAGATGAAATATATAAAAGCCTGAATAGTCCTATAATCATTATATAAATTGGATTTGTAACGAAAAAGCTCCTGAACACAATATATCCAGACCCAATGGTTTCACTGAAGAATTTACCAAATATTTAAAGAAGAATCAACACCAGTTTTACACAGTCTCTTCCAGAAAATAGAAGAGACAGGACTATGATATCATTATTTTGATATCAAAACAGAACAAAGACAGCACAAAGGAAGGAAGGAAGGAAGGGAGGAAGGAGGCAGGGACAGAGGAAAGAACCCTGCAGGCTGATTTTGCTCATAAGCTTAGATGGAAAAATCCTCAAGACAGTGTTAGCAAATCAAATTTAGTAATGCATAAAAAGAGTAGTAGACCACAATCAAGAGGAATTTCACTCAAGTTATGCAAGACTGTTTTAATATTTGAAAAGCCAATACACATATTCTGCCTTGTAAACTGAAGAAGAAAAATCATATGATCTTATCAATTGACATAGGAAAAGGTTTTGACAAAATTCAAAACCCATTCATGATATAAACTCTTAGAAAACTTGGAATAGAGGGGTAATTTCCTCCAACTTCATAAAGAGCATTTACAAAAATCTACAGTTAACATCACACTTAATGGTGAAAGAATGAATGCTTTCCCCTTAAGAGCAGGAACAAGGCAAGAATGTTCCCTTTCACCATGTTAATTCAAGATAGTACTGGAAGTTCTAACCAATGTAATAAGACCAGAAAAAGAAATAAAAAGTTGCAGATTGAAAAGAAAGAAAGAAAACCATCACTACTTGCACTTGGCATAATCATATACATAAACAGTCCCACAGAATAAAAAAAATCCTTGATATAAAGAGTGAGAATATCAAGGCTGCAATACACAAGAATAACACACATACACAAATTGCATCTCTCTATGGTAACAATAAACAAGTGGAAAGCAAAATAAAAACTGCAATACCATTTACAACTGCTCAAAATACATGAAGTATTAATATGTAGGAATAAATCTAATAAAACATATACAGGAGAATATAGTGCAAATTACAAAATTCTGCTGAAAGAAATCAAATATCTACATAAATGGAGAGTCATGCCATATTCAGGGATGGGAAGTCTCAAAATAGAGGTCAGCTTCCTTCAAATTGCAGGTTTGATACAATTCTAAATCTTGGCATTGTTTTTTGTATACATATGCAAACTTATTGTAAACTTTATATTAAAAGGAAGTGTCCCTAGGTTAGCTGAAACAATTCTGAAAAAGAATAATTAAATGGAAGAAATCACTGTACCAATTATTAAAGCTTACTCTACAACTACAGTAATCAACTCAGTATGGTGCTGGTGGAGGGAGAGACATATTAATTACTGGTGCAGGACAGAGATCCCACCCCAGAAATATACTTAATTAATTTTTGAGAAAGATGCAACAGCAGTTTAGTAGAGGAGTGATAGCCCTTTCAACAAGTGCTGCAGGAACAATCAGACATCCATAGGCAAGGAGATGAGGCTTGGCCTGACCTTCACATTTTATACAAAACATAACACAAGGATCATGGGCTTAAATGTCAAACCGTAATATTTTCAGGAAAAAAAAAATAGAAGAAAATCTTCAGGACCAGGGACTAGGCAGAGCCCTTAGACTTGACATCAAAATACAATTCATAAAAGAAAAAATTGATAAATTGGACCTCATCAAAATTAATGTTTTTTTTTGCTCTGCAAAAGATGCAATTGGGATGATGGAAAGATAAGTTACAGAATGAGAGAAAATATTTGCAAATCACATATCTGACAAAGAACTTGTGTCAAGAATAAAGAACACTCAGAACTCAAAATAAATAAGTAATCAAATTAAAAATGTGCAAATGACATGAACAGATATTTGACCAACGAAAATATTCTTTGTACATGTAAGGATGGTCAGCAACATTAGCCATTAGGAAAGTTGAAATTAAAACCACAATGAGACATCAGTACATATTAGAATGGCTTTTTAAAAAGTGATTAGCACTAGGCTGGGTGCAGTAGCTCACGCTCGTAATCCCAGAATTTTGGGAGGCCGAGGCGAGTGGATCATTTGAGATCAGGAGTTCGAGACCAGCATGGCCAACAGGGTGAAACCCCATCACCCCTAGTGACCCACTAGCAAAAGTTTTGCTACTTGTCCCCACCACCTTATGCTCGGCTGGCCTAGAGGTCTTAGTTCCAGAGGGAGGAATGCTGCCGCCAAGAGACACAGGGATGATCCATTGCGCTGGAAGTTTAGGCTGCCATCTGGTGGCACTAAGCTCCTCATGCCTCTGGATCAACAGGTAAAGAAGGAGTTAACTACGTTGGTGGGGGTGGCTGGTCCAGATCACCAAGGAGAAACTGCACTGCTGCTTCACAAGGGACTGAGGAAGAGCATGTCTGGGGTACAGGAGGGCCCTCGTGGCATGCGCTGTGATTAAGATCAATGGAAAAGCACAACAGCCCAATCTAGGCAGGATTAATAATGGTCCAGAACCTTCATGAATGAAGGTTCCCCCACCAGGTTAAAAACCACAACCAGCGGAGGCTTCCTGAAGGCAAAGGGAATACAGACTGGGGAGTGGAAGAAGGTAGTTATAGGACCATGTGACCAGCTACAGAAACAAGGACTGCAATTGTCATGAATGTTTCCTCCTTATTTGCTGAGAGAGAAAGAGAGAGAGTGTTTAAAGTTTTGGAAGAAAACATAGGAAGAAATCTTCATTAATTGAGGTTAGGGAAATTGTTCTTAGACATGATGCCAAATGCATGTAAAAGCAAAAATCCATCAATTAGACTTGATCAAAATAAAAAATATAGCTTTGCAAAAGACACTGTTAAAAGACACTGAAAAGACAGCTATAGGCTGGGAGAGAATATCTACAAACCACATATCCAACAAAGAAAGTAGTCCGACATATATAAAGAACTCTTAAAATCAACAGTTAGAAAACCATCCAAACAAAAGTGGGTAAAAGACTTGGACCCTCACCAAAGAGGACGCTCTATGTGGAAGACAGCAAGCCTATGAGAGACCATCAACACTAATCATTAGGGAAATGCAAATCAAAACCATAGTGAGGTGCCACTGGAAAGCACTTTGACAGTTCTGTTAAACCACATGACCCAGCAGTCCCATAACGGTTTTTCCTGGAGTAAGGAAAATTTGTGTTCACATGAAAACCTCTGCAGAAATGTTTATGGCAACTCTATGCATAATCGCCTAAATCTGGACACAACCACACGTCCTCCCATGGATGAAGAGGTAACTACCTGTGTCTCCCTGTGCAGGCTAACACCATTCCACAATTGAAAGGAACATGCCACTGACACACAGTGCATTGGGGTGGATCTCAAAAACATGATGCTTAGTGAAAGCAGCCAGTTACAAAGAGCCCATGCTGCGTATCTCCACTCACACGACCTTCCCAAGACAACAGTGTGACAGGGATAGAAGGCAAATCAGCAGTCAGCAGGTTGGGTGGGAAGGGCTGGACTCCAGCAAGAGGGGTGCAGTTCCTCGGCATCCTGACTGTGGAACCTTGTACGTGTGAAAATTCTCAGACCTAAACACCTCTTTTAAATGGGACCAGATGGGGAAATAAAACTATCATTTTTTGGTCATCTGTTTCATATCAGTCACCACAGGTACAGTTGTGATCCTTGAACAACACAAGTCTGAACTACATGGGTCTACCTACATACAGATTTTTTCTTAAAAAAATTTTTTTTTAAATTAAATCTTCTTAAATAGACATGGGGTCGGCCAGGCATAATGGCTCATGCCTGTAATCCCAGCACTTTGGGAGGCCAAGATGGGCAGATCACGAGGTCAGCAGATTGAGAACATCTTGGCCAACATAGTGAAACCTCATCTCTACTAAAAATACAAAAAAAAAAAAAATCTGGGTGTGGTGGCACGCACCTGTGTTCCCAGCTACTCAGAAGGCTGAGGCAGGAGAATCACTTGAACCCGGGAGGTGGAGGTTACAGTGAGCCGAGATCATGCCACTGTACTCCAGTCTGAGCAACAAGAGTGAAACTCCGTCTCAAAAAAAAAAAAAAAAAGACACGGGGTCTCACTATGTTGCTCAGACTGGTCTCGAACTCCAGGACTCAAGTAACCCTCCCAACCTTGGCCTCCCAAATTGCTAGGATCACAGGCATGAACCACCACACCTGGCCCACTTTTTTTTTCAATAAATATATTGGAAAAATGTATTGGAAAATTTCATATCAGCCATGCCAGCAGACGTGAAACCTTGCTCTTCTGGCCAAATACTTTTTTACCTGGTCTTGGAAATGCAGCTTTTGGACAGATGTAGTAGCTCATGCTTGTAATCCCAGCACTTTGTGAGGCTGAGGCAGGAGGATCACTGGAGCCTAGGAGATGGAGGTTGCAGTAAACATTGCAACCATTTGAAGAAACTTGCAGATGAACCTTGTAGCCTAGAAATATTGAAAAAGTTAAGAAAAAGGTATGTCGTGAATGCATAAAATACTAGCATATTTTTATCATTTACCACCATAAAACATACATAAATCAGTTATAAACAGTTAAAATTTATCAAAAGTTATGCACACAAACACAGTATATGGTGCCAGTCAAGAGAAATGTAAACAAATGTAAAGATGCAGTATTAAGTCATAATTGCATAAATTAATGGGAGCCCACTGTACTACTGTAATAATTCTGTCACCCCTCCCGCTAGTATTGCAGTGCACTCAGGTGTCCAGTGTCCACTTAAAATGCCATGTGACACTAGCCATCTCCACGTGAGCACTTGTCTCTCCTGTAGATTGTGTATCACAGTGAAAAGTAATCTCTTGTGGTTCTCATGTATTTTTCATGTTTAGTGCAATACCATAAACCTGAAGAAGACAACGAAACGTGTATGAAATGCCACTAGTGATGCTGGAAGTGCTGCCAAGAAGCAGAGAAAAGTCTTGACAGTACAAGAAAAAGGTGGATTGATTGATATGTACTGTAGACTGAGGTCTGCAGCTGTGGTTGCCCACCATTTCAAGATAAATTAATCCAGCCTAAGAACCATTGTAAAAAAAGAAAATGAAATTCGCAGTGTCATCACTGCAGGCATGCTAGCAGACATGAAACTTTGCTCTTTTTGCCAAATACCTTTTTATCTAGTCTTGAAAATATAGCTTTTGGCTGGATGTAGTAGCTCATGCCTTTAATCCCAGCACTTTGGTAGACCGAGGCAGGAGGATCACTTGAGCCCAGGAGATGGAGGCTGCAGTAAGCCAAGATCACACAACTGCACTCCAGCCTGGAAGCGAGGCTCTGTCAGGGGGGGAAAAAAAGGAGATGAAAGAAGGAAAGAAGGACAGAGAAATAGAGAAAATGCAGCTTTTATGTGGGTGCAGGATATCTATAAGAAAAGCATATCTATAGACTCTAATATGATCCAAGAAAAACTGATGTCATTATATGACAACCTAAAACGAAAGACTGGTGGAGAATGGTGACTTAAAATTATGAGATCTACAAATTTGGAGAGGCTAAAGTACAGTGGCACAATCATGACTAACTGCAGCCTCAACCTCCAGGGCTCAGGCAATCTCCCACCTCAGCCTCCCAAGTAGCTGGAACTACAGGTGTGTGCCACCATGCCTGGCTAATTTTCAAACTTGTTTTTGTAGAGACAGGGGTCCCACTATCTTGCCCAGCTGGTCTCGAACTCTTGAGCTCAAGCAATCCTCCCACCTCGACCTTCTAAAGTGTTGAGATTACAGGCATGAGCCACTGTGCCAGGCCAAGAGCCTTATTTTCTTTCTTTCTTTCTTTTTTTGTCTGAGAGAGTCTAGCTCTATCATCCAGGCTGGAGTGCAGTGGTGCGATCTCAGTTCACTGCAACCTTTGCCTCCCAGGTTCAAGCAATTCTCCTGCCTCAGCCACCAGATTAGCTGGGAAGACAGGCACATGCCACTACACCTGGTTAATTTTTGTATTTTTTTCTAGGTAGAGATGGGGTTTCTCCATGTTGGCCAGGCTGGGCTCAAACTCCTGGTCTCAAGTGATCCACCCAACTCAGCCTCTCAAAGTGCTGGGATTACAGGTGAGAGCCACTGGGCCAGCCCAAAAGCCTTATTTCTTAGAAAGGTTGCAGCCTGCAGGCTGGCCATCTTGACAGGCTGGGAAGTGTAGCCTCCAGCAAAGACCAAAAGCAGGCACTTCCAGGGACAGAAAGATGAGACAGGAAGTTATGCTGAAAGGGTTGGCTAAATGTACATATTCAACAGGTTATAGAAGGCTCTATGAATATTCATGAAGGGGGTAAGACACACCTATTTCACACATTACATATGTCCTATGTTCATTTTGGAGTGGAGGCAACATTTAAATGCATTAAAATTGGGCCCTATATGTCAAAAGGTGAAGCAGAAGGTTCTAAGGCTCTCAGTGCCCAGCCTTCCTACTGGAGAAAACTGTGTCCAGATGTACAACAGGGCCAATCAAGGAAATCATGAAAGAGAGTGTGCCTGTGGCAAAAAAGGTGGGGAATGTAGGCTTTCAGGATATGGATCTTGGAGAAATTCAAGAGTGAATAGACATCACACCAGAGGAATTAACAGAAGACCACTTGATGGAGATGAGTGTTTTTGAATCAGTGCCAGATTATGAGGAAGAGGATGTAGATGCAGTGCCAGAAAATAAGTTGACATTCAACAATCTGGCAGAGGGGTTCTGATTATTCAAGACTACTTGTGACTTCTTCTACCACATGGACCTTTCTATGGTACGAGCACCAAAACTAAAGCAAATGGTGGAAGAAGGATTGGTAACATAAAGAAACATATTTAGAGACATGAAAAAGCAAAAATGTCAGACAGAAATAATGATGAATTTCTCAGCGTCTGTGTATCTCCTGACTTCCTTCCCATCTCCCCCACCTTTTCTGCCTCTGCCATCCCTGAGATGACAGGACCAACCTCTTCTTTTCTTCAGCCTACTCAATGTGAAGACGATATGGATGAAAACCTTTATGATGATCCACTTCCATTTAGTGATAGTGAATACATTCTCTTCCTTATGATTTTATTAGTACTTTTTCTTTTCTGTAGCTTACTGCATTGTAAGAATACAGTATACAATACAAATCACATACAAAATATGTGTTGAGTGTTTATGTTATTGGTAAGGCTTCTGGCCAATAGTAGGCTATTAACAAAAGTTGTGGTGAGTTGGAAGTTATATGTGGATTTTTTTTTTTTTTGAGACAGAGTCTTGCTCTGTCCTGCAGGCTGGAGTGCAGTGGTGAGATCTCGGCTCACTGTAACCTCCACCTCCTGGGTCCAAGCAATTCTCCTGCCTCAGCCTCCTGAGTAGCTGGGATTACAGGTGCGCACCACCACGCCTGACTAATTTTTGTATTTTTAGTAGAGCCGGGGTTTCACCATGTTGATCAGGCTGGTCTCAAACTCTTGACCTCATGATCTGCCCACCTCAGCTTCCCAAAGTGCTGGGATTACAAGCGTAAGTGACCACACCTGGCCTATATGTGGATTTTTGACTGTGTGGGAAGGTCAGCACCCCATCCCCTTCATGGGAACTGTAGTCTCATTAAATCCTCACATGTTGCAAGATTGGTTTATTATCCCCATCTTACAGATAAGAAACTTAAAACCCAAGAGATTTTGTACATTGCCCAGAGTCACATCACTGGTGAGTGGCAGAAACTGGAGCCCCCACCCAGACCATCCCTGACCTGAGCACAGGTTGCCAAGTGTGGGTGCAGCAGTCAGAGACACTGGGAGATGGTGACCTGCCCTCCATATTGAGGCCACTTATATATCTGGCTTCTGTGAAACAGCCTTGCTTAGCTCCACCACTCAGTTTTGGTCAAATGAACCACAGCAGGATCATGTGGACTTTCTGAGCACTGGTTTGCATGTATGAGTTGGACTTGGTGATCTCTTTGAGGTGTGTGGACATACTAAGCTAGTGGAAAAAGTGCTGAACAGACTGGGACCGGTGGCTCACGCCTGTAATCCCAGCCCTTTGGGAGGCCAAGGCAGGAGGATCTCTTGAGGCCAGCCTGGGCAACATAGTGAGACCTTGTCTCTCCAAAAAAAAATTAAAAATTTTTAAAATGGTGAACAAAAACCCACCTGTGTTCAATCTTGGCTCCTCCCTGGATAATGTACCCACTCCCAAGTGTAGGTGTTGGTAACTCTTGGCAGTACATCTTAAGCCCAGGTAGCACATCAACTGGAGTTCCAGACATTTCCCCAGTTGCCGCCTCAGATGTCTCTACCTGGCTGTCCCACAGGTGCCCGTCACTCCACCCGGCATCCCAGCCAGACACTTGGGGTCCCTGGGGTACTCCCCGAAAACCCCTTGTTCCTCAAAACCCCCAGACCCACTACCCCTCCAATGTTACCTCTCAGAGCTCTAGCACCCACCACTTCTCCCTCTCTGTGCCTCCTCCCCCTGAACTTCCTGCAAACTATCTCCACCCAGTAGCAAAGGAGCTTTTTGAAAAATGGAAATCTGACCACGCTGTCCCAGTTAAATGTTCTCCCAGGGCTTCCTGGTGTCTTGGGATGAAGATAGCATCTTAAAGCGGCCTCATCCCCTGCCTCTCTATTTTCCTCCCCAGCTCCTAGGACTCTCTGCCACTGTCCTGGCTCCAGCCACGCTGGCTTGCAGGCGTCATGCTGCCCTGTGTCACAGGCCTTTCCACATAACATTCCTGTGCTTGACACACTCTTCTGCTTCCCCAACTCCCAGCCTTTGCCGAGTTAACCAACTTCTGGTCATGGCTCAACCATCACTTGCTTCCCTAAGGAAGCCTTCTCCAACTTCCTACACCATGTGTAGAGCTGTGCAGTCCTCTACGGGACCACTGCCACATGGGGCCATTGAGCCCTTGAAATGTGCAACTGCTGCCGAGAACTGGACATTTTTTATTTTAATTAATTTGAATTTCAAACAAGTCACTAGGTTCAGTTACATTTGAAACAAGGGGATATACATCTATTTTTTCAACTGTGAATACTGTGAAATCTAAATATAGATTATTTCCCACAAAATTTAGATCTCAATTGAGAGATGTTTTAAGAGTACACACCGGGCCAGGCACAGTGGCTCATGCCTGTGGTCCCAGCACTTTGGGAGGTCGAGGTAGGCGGATCACCTGAGGTCAGGGATTTGAGACCAGCCTGGCCAACATGAAGAAACCCTGTCTCTACTAAAACTACAAAAAAATTAACCGGGCGTGGTGGCAGGCACCTGTAATCCCAGCTACTCCAGAGGCTGAGGCAGGAGAATCGCTTGAACCTGGGAGGCAGGTTTCAGTGAGCTGAGATCGTGCCATTGCACTCCAGCCCGGGCAAAAACAGCGAAACTCTGTCTCAAAAAACAAAACAAAACAAAACAAAACACTACACCAAATTTCAAAGACTTAGCACAAAACAGGAATGTCAAGTAGTTCAATAATCATTTTTATACTGATTCCATGTTATGATGGTATTTTAGGTACACTGGCTTTATTTATTAGTAGACAGGGTCTCGCTCTGTCGCCCAGGCTGGAGACCTACTGAATTCAGGTCATCCTCCCGCCTCAGCCTCCCGAGTTGCTGGGACCACAGGTGCGTGCCACCACTCCCGGCTTTTTTTTTTTTTTTTTTTTTTTTTTTTTTTTTTTTTTGTAGAGATAGGGTCTTGCCATGTTGCCCAGGGTGCTCTGGAACTTCTGGGCTCAATCGGATCTTCCTGCCTAGGCCTCCCAAGTAGCTGGGATTACAGGTGTGAGCCACCGCGCCCAGCCGGTATACTGGCTTTAAATGATAAAAATGTTCTGAACATTCACCTTCCGGTGTTGGCGCGCGGGGTGTGGCGCGGAGTGACCAGCCCTGCCCGGGCTCCTTTCGGCAGCAGGTGAAGCGGCTGCAGCGCGTTCTTTAACTTTCCCAGAAAGACCTACAGTTTGTAAAGCGCGTGATCTCATGCATGTCCCAGCCAGCCCAGCAGCTGGGGGTGCAGGGCCACGTCCAGTCTGGGACGCTGCAGGGGCTTCGCTCCTGGGTCCCACCTCCTGTGCATCCCAGGGCGCAGCGCGACAGTCCGAGGTCCTGCACGCCGTGGGGAGCCGCGCTGGGGGCGCCTCGGAAGGACGCGGTTCTCCAGCCCTTTCCGTGCCTAAACAGGACCGAGGCTGAGTTTCTTCGCGTGGGTGGAAACTAAAGCGGGGTTGGGGACTGGGCGCCGGCCACGGGTGCGGTTCCAGCAGCGGGAGCGGGTCCCAGGGCCGGGGGTGGGGGGGGGGGGGCTCAGGCACAGCGGGGGGCGAGGGCGCAGCGCCCGGAGCGCAGATCCCAGGGGCCCTCACCGCAGTAGGTGATGGAGGTGTGCAGCAGCGCCACAAAGCGTTCCACAGGGCACACATACAGCAAAGCAGCACGCTGTGAGCAGTGAAGATATGTAAGTTTGTCAATTAAACTTTCATAAAGCTGGGGAAAACAGAAGAAAAGGAACCATAACAAAAAAAAAAATAAAGCCGAGAAACATTTAAGAGATTTATTAGTTTGTTTTAAAATAACAGAAGCAAGCCCATTACATGGTAACATAAGTCGCATATTTTTGTGAGAAATGTTTTCCAAAGCAAAAAAAAAAAAAAACTGGGAAAATGGCGGTGCTTCAGTTGTGCGAGCTGTCATGTCCTAACACAGCTGCATCCTCAGCCCGCTGTCCCCCGGCGAGACGCTCCCACTTCCAGTGAAAAGAGATCAATAACGTCTCCTTATTGTCACGAAACATTCTTGACTCGACCTCACTCAGCTGCTGACAGGGTCGTGAAAATCCCAGGGGTCCCTGGACGGCACAATTGAGTGCCACTGGTTTTTTGGAGAAAAGTTTGGAGGAGTACTGGGGAGTTTGGAGAGGGTCCAGGGAAGGCCTCACCGACCAGTGGCCTCAGGGCCAGCATCAGAAGGAGCAGCAAGGAGGTAGAGGCAGGGAGGGGGACGTAGGAGCTGCCGCATTCCAGGCACAGGGAACTGCAAGTGTTGAGGACCCCAGGCAAGTGCACTGAGGAATGAAAGGCCACTGTGGCCAGAGCTGGAGGCAGCAGAAGAGAGGCCCTAGAGGAGGGCAGGGGCCAGAGCACCAGCGAGGCCAGACAAGGGCCGCGGCCTAGAAGCAAAGGGAAGCCATGGAAGGAGCCTCGGAAAGTGACATCAAGTTTGCATGTTTAAAAGCCACGCTCAAGAAGTGCTGTCAATCATTAGAGACAGGTATCAGCCAAATAATCACATAAATACTTTTAAAAAACTAAACAATAATTTGGTAATTTCTTGGCTATGACACTAAAAGCACAGGCAACAAATGAAAAAATAAATTGGACTTTATCAAAATTAAAAAAACCTTTGCACAACAAAGGACACTATCAGAGTGAAAAGACACCCCAAAGAATGAGAGAAAATATTTGTGAATGGTTTATCTGATAAGGGTTTAATATCCAGAATATAAAAAGAACTTCTACAATTCAACAACAACAAAAAATCTGATTCAAAGGACTTGAATAGACATTTCTCCAAAGAAGGTCTATAGATGGCCAATAAGCACACAGAAAGATGCTCAACATCACTAGTCATTACCGACATGCAGATCACAAGGAGATGCAACTTCACACTAGGATGCCTGTTTTTTAAGAAACCAATCAACCAACCAACAAAAAAACAGAGTAATGAGGGTGGTCTAGGCTATGGAGAAATTGAAACCCTTGTACGTATTGCTAGAAGGAATGTAAGGAATCCACAGCAGCTGTGGATACAGTGTGGCAGTTCCTCACACAATTAAACACAGAATGACATTTGACCCAGCAATTCCACTTTTACACACAGAACTGAAACAGAGACTCACACAGATATTTACACACCAATGTTCAAGCAACATTATTGCCAATAGCCCATACGTCCATCAGCAGATGAATGGATAAGCAACATGTGGTAAAGACATTCACAGGGAATATTATTCAGCCTTAAAAGGGAAGGAAATTCTGACACATGCTGCAACTGGACACACCTTGAAGACAGTATGCTAAGTGAAATAAACAAGACACAAAAAGACAAATATTGTATGATTCCATTTGCAAATGTATCTAGAGTAGTCACTCAGAGACAGAAAACAGAATGGTGATTGCAGGGGCTGGGGGAAGGAGGGAATGAGGAGATGTTGTTTAATGGGTACAAAGTTTCAGTTTGGGATGATGGAAAGGCTCTGAAGATGGCTGCAACAGCACTGTGAAGGTAATTAATGCCACCGACTCATACAATTAAAAATTGATAAAATAAGTTTTATTATGCATATTTTATCACAAAACAAAAATTGGAAAAAACCAACACACACAAAAAACAAACCCACCCCTCCCCCACAAAAAAGTTACAGGACAGGCCACCTGATCTAAATGTATGACACATCCTTCTCTCTCTACATGCCAGTTGGCAGCCTTATTTTAGAATGTCCAAACTTTGCTTAAGAAAAGACTTAAAAGATTCCTCCAAATACCCACCCAACCAAAGTTTATCTGATTTTCAATAATAAGGTACCATCCCCAAATATGAAATTCTAAGTCTCATAATAAAACACCTTTGGCATTTAAATGTCCAACATCTTAACCTTTTGTCTTGTTAAAGGATTATAAAAATGTTCAATACTTTAAAACCATGAAATAAACTAGGTAAAACTAAGAAGACACAAATAAAATACAATGTCCTTGCTGAAGACTCTGAATAATGGCTTTAAGAAATACCTGAGTCTGGCAAAATACTAGACACTAGAAGTCAGTACCAAGGGCAATTAAATCGATGCTCTTTTCCCGTCAGCGGGGTAAGCTCTGAAGCCTCCAGAGAGCTGAATCAGACCCGGTGGCTTTCCTGTTTGCTCAAACATTTATTTCTGAAATGGCAGCCATGTCACCAAATGATAATACTTAAAGCAAGTTCACAGGTTTTGTTAAAAAAAGAAAACAATCTAGTACATCCACAAATAGGAAACCAAACACACCTGAACACATCTATGATTAAATAAGAATATTTAATGGCATGGAAAGATACGTACACTATAGGTTCAATATGTTTTCAAAACATACCCAGCACCTATGGCTGCCTGTGCATAGTAAAAAGATAGAAAGGTATAACAGAATAATTTTTACAATTTACAAAGTTTAATGCAATTGAGAAAGGTTTCTATAAAAATTGTTAAAATAGTTCAGAGGGCAAATGCTTACTTTGCATAGCAATGCTTCGGTTACCTGGAATGCCCTCCCTTCTTTCTTCCAAGCAATTTTATGCCGCACGATGCTCAGTGGCTCTACTCTAAGTGCCAACAAGGTGAACAACCCAGTTCCTGCTCTCACGGAACTCACATTCTGGTGGAATTTATTTTTGCAACATACTTGTGGCAATATCAAATTAATAAGCCATTAGTATTGAAAAGTAATTTACACACTCTCCAGTCTGGTCCTTATTTTGATATATGTCTTCCTATGAGATGGATGCAAACTCACAGCAAAAACTATGTGTATACATATAGCCACATGCTGCACGACGTTCAGTCAAGGATGGACCACATATACGGCAGTGGTTCCACAATATTGTATTTTTGCTATGCCTTTTCTATGTTTCGATACACAAATGTTTACCACTCTGTTACAACTGCCTACAGTAGTCAGTACAGTCACATGCTGCCCAGGTTTGTAGCCTAGGAGCAATAGGCCATACCATAGAGCCCAGGTGCACAGTAGGCTGTACCATCTAGGTTTGCGTGTCACTCTATGATGTTTACACAATGACAAAATTGCCTAAATGATACATTTCTCAGAATATATCCCCATCCTTAACTGATGTGTGACTGTATTTTACTAACCTGGCCAGGTGGAACCTTCACAAATAAAAATTCTACATAGAAAATGCTATTTATTGTTTCTTTCAGACATTAGAGATTCCTTAACTTTAGTTTTAAATAATCTTGATATACAAACTTTTTATTTCCCTTGTTCTCCAAATATGATAAACCAAGATTTTTAATATTAACAGGTATGACTTCTGCCTACATACATTGTCTTTGGAAAAGGCAATTATCTGCAACTGTAATTAAACATTCTTTTATTTCCCCCATTGCTAAACAATTTCACTCTTCTGGCTAAAATATAAAACCATACAATTATAAATACTTATTTGCAAGGCTTCTCTTTGAACAAATTTGCTTGTTGTATAAGACACTTGCTGATCACCTTGTAAGCTACTTAAAACATGGTATGACTTAGAGTGCCTTGTATATTTTAGTTGAATTATAGTTTTGCATTTTAAAATATATCAATTATGCTATATAACAAATTAGTTTTAAATTATAATTGTTATGGGCTTACTATGTGTCAGTCCCCAGGCCTATCAGCATACTGGATGATCAAATTCACAATAGCTCTTGAGGAATAGAGGAAAATGTACACCCAGAGTTGCTCAGAGAGGTCTGGGCATGTTCCAATTGTCACTTCCCAAGTGGACCCAGCCATGACAGGATTTTCACATCCTCTTCCCTTCTTATGGAGATACAAAGCTGAGCACCTGTCTGCTGACAACTTTAGGTTTTTAGAGAGCCTCTCAGACTAGGGCCAACTGCTCATAATCCTGCCGACCCTCTTTGGCCCCTATGATGTTGTAAAGGCAATGTGGTACTCCTATCAGCAGCGCACATACTATAACTGGTACAACACAGAGGTCACCATGGGCCCCATGCACAGATGACACAAATTCATGAAGTGTTCTACATACATACATATATATATATAATTTTTTTTTTTTTTTGAAACAGGGTCTTGCCCTGTCGCCCAGGCCGGAGTGCAGTGGTGCTATCATGGCTCACTGCAGCCTCAACCTCCCGAACTCAAGTGATCCTCCTACCTCAGCCTCCCAAGCAGCTGGAACTACAGGTATGCACCACCACACCAGGTGAATTTTTTATTTTTTGTAGAGATGAGGTTTTGCCATGTTGCCCAAGTTGGTCTCAAATTCCTGGGCTCAAGTGATCCTCCTGCCTTAGCATCCCAAAGTGCTGGGATTACAGGCGTGAGTCACTGTGCCCAGCTGCGTTCCATATTTCTACACACCCATGCATACCTGGAGGAGTATACTTGGGGAAAGTAAAGCTGAGGAAAGGTGAATAAAATCAGTGGGCTGTATTGATGTCAACATCCTGATTGTGATATGTGTGAAACATTACCACTGAAAGAAATTGGGCAAAATATACAACTATATGTGAATCTATGATTACATCGTATAGGATTAGATTCCCCATAACTATATCAACATACAATCATAAAATACATATATCGCCTATGTAATAGTATGATTACATCAATATAATGTTTAATTTAAAAAAAGGCAATGTAGCTAGGCAGGTATAATGCATGAGCATAATATGGGAAGCCTATCTCACTGATACATACAATTTCCTTGGTCTCTGCACATGAGACAACAATCTCCTAAGTCTAAAGCTTTAAAAAAGTACTTACTGTTACCTTGTCACTATACTAATGTGCAGAACATATGACATAAGATAGAAAATGTCCACGAGGGCCAGTGATCAAAGGAACCCATAGATCCCAGGTGCATAGTAGGCTGTACCATCTAGGTTTGTGTGTCACTCAAACAAAAAACACAATAAAAACACTACACACTCTTCTCTAAAATTTTGCATGAGAGCTGAGGGTTCAAGTGAATATTTCTTTCTCTTCTGGAAGACTCCTCATGAAGGTGGTAGCATAAATAATTATCCACAAAGAATTGTCAGGCATTCATCCCTAATGAAAACTACTAAGCCAAAACTAACAAAAAAAAAATTTAATGGTATTTTTGCAGGACAAAATAATTAAACTGAGGCAGGCAGAGGAAAGTAAGAGAATCCACACAACCACAGCTTACATCACTTTAAATCTCAACAGCCCCAAGTGATGAGAATGAACCCGGTCCAAGTAGTTCAGGCTTCTCTGTTCCTCTTGCAGGCACAGTTTGTGTAGAGACATCTCTTGAGTTCTTGCCCACTGACTTGTCATTCACAGGCATTCAAACTGTGATGTTTGAAACTGTCCACCTCTGCAGATCCAGGGACAGTCCCTCCAGTCCAAAGGCTCACTGAAACTGGCCCTCAGCCCCCTTCAAACTGGACTTCTGGTTTCTTCTTTCCTTCTGCCCCTGAATTTGGAAGAGCTTCTTCCTGAGGTCCTTCTGCCGCTTCAGCTTCTCCTCCTCCTCCTTCTGCTTGGCTCTGAAGTGCTCTTTATTGTGCAGGTGCCGCTGCTCCTTGGCCTTCTTCATCTTCTGACTGTGCACCATACTCAGAGCATCCAGCAGTGCGAGGATCTGACAAGGACAAAAGCCGGTGAGTATCAGAATGCTCTCAGCCACCACACACTCACATCCTAAGCACTAAGACTAGAGGCAACCCACGATCCAAATGAATATTAACCGCATGAAAATGCATCCTGCGCTAGGAAGTCATTGTTGGCATGGAGACACAAGTGTGATCGCATTTTACCTTTACTACCTCTGTTCATCATTCTGTGGACACTGTGTGCAGCTAACCAAGACAGAAGGGTTCCCCAGTCATGTGCCTGTTATACCCCATCAAAAGAACAGGGCAGAGCAGGACCAGGCAAAGGAAGGGAAATTGACTCCAGCTCTTCCTCTGACTTTAGTTCCAGTGCCCTGAATAACTGAGACTGCAGTAGAAACAGGAAGTGTGCTACTGAGAGTGTTCTTTTCCTATCTAAATGCAGCGTGCAGTACGGCATGGGCGACAGTACCTTTCTTTCATGAGGCTCACGCATGACGGCCAGTCTCCGCCTGTCCTTTGCTTGGTTCTTGGGTTTGTTTTTTGTTTTTTCTTTTTTCTTTTTTTTTTTGAGACAGAGTTTCGCACTGTCGCACAGGCTGGAGTGCAGTGGCCCGATCTCAGTTCACTGCAAGCTCTGCCTCCCAGGTTCACGCCATTTTCCTGCCTCGGCCTCCCAAGTAGCTGGGACTACAGGCGCCCACCACAACACCTGGCTAATTTTTTGTACTTTTAGTAGAGACAGGGTTTCACCATGTTAGCCAGGATGGTCTCGATCTCCTGACCTCGTGATCCGCCCGCCTCAGCCTCCCAAAGTGCTGGGATTACAGGCGTGAGCCACCGCGCCTGGCCTTGGGCTTGTTCTTAAATGGCAGGGCCTTCTGCAAGGCTTTTGGAATGTGCAGTGAATTAAAATGTTTCTTTTGCCTCAGGATTGGCTGAAAAGAAAAATAAAGACTGTGACATATTCAAATTATGATCAATGTGCATTTAAAACTTCTGCATAAAATCTTCTCATTGGGTTGACTTTTCCACAAGATCAGTAACACCAGAGTCTGCTGGCCCTGAGAAATCAGGACTCAATCATCCGCCAAGTATGAACTGCCTCAGTGGACACCCAAATTCTCACTAAACAGTAAACAGAGGTACAGAGAGCTTATACTTACAACTCTCCCCCCGAAACCCACTGTGTCTATTTCTATGGTATGGAACTATGTCTCAACAGAACAGATGAACAGATCCCAGTTTCTTTTCATGGAAATTTCAGGCCTTGTCTTTGGGCCACTAAGGTGCTTAGTTCTCAGGCTAACAAAAATAATCTAGCTTTTTGTCTTGACTACCAACCACTCTGGATTTTTTTTTTTTTTTTGAGATGGAGTCTCGCCCTGTCACCCAGGCTAGAGTGCAGTGGTGTGATCTTGACTCACACAACCTCCACCTCCCAGGTTCAAGCAATTCTCCTGTCTCAGCCTCCCAAGTATCTGGGACTACAGGCACACACCACCACGCCCGGCTAATTTTTGTATTTTCGGTAGAGATGGGGTTTCACCATGTTGGTCATGCTGGTCTTGAACTCCTGACCTCAGGTGATCCACCTGCCTTGGCCTCCCAAAGTGCTAGGATTACAGGCATGAGCCACCATGCCCAGCCCACTCTGGATTTAAGGACAGTTCTTCCTCCAATCAGCAGCCAAAGAGTCCTGATTCCTGATTCTAATTAAGAAGTTTAAGTTGGTATTCTATTTCTGATGGAAGGTTGGCTAAAAGAAGGGAGACTCAAACAACAGATGAAGACAAAATACTCTGTACTGAATTTTCAACATAATCTTAAATTCTATGTTTAATTGAGATGACCCAAATTCTTTTTTTTTTTTTTTTTTTGATATGGAGTCTTGCTCTGTCGCCCAGGCTAAAGTGCAGTGGCATGATCTCGGCTCACTGCAACCTCCGCCTCCCGGGTTCACACCATTCTCCTGCCTCAGCCTCCCAAGTAGCAGGGACTACAGATGCCCGCCACCACACCTGGCTAATTTTTCGTATTTTTAGCAGAAATGGAGATGACCCAAATTCTTAACTGCCTCATAAATACTGTTAATATATTGAAAGTTTTGCCCTAAGCTTTTTATTAAAGTCAACTATATAGAAAAAGTTTCTCCTGTCTTGAAATGTATTATTAAAGACATCATCCCTAATAATATTCCATATTCTCTGTTTAGGAACCCCAGTTGTTTTCAAATTCAAGAATTCAGAGAAATCTACTTGTTACAAAAGAGTAGAATGGATAATGGGCACCACATCCGGAAGTGTATTTTAATAAAAATTCATGTAAGATGGTTCAAAATTTCATTAACTACTTTATATAAAAAGAAATGCCTGGGAGACTTCTGTTTCTAGCAGAGTGGCAGAGTGATGCCTTGAACAACCCTCTTATTACAAAACTGAATACTCCACATGAAAACAAATCTTTTCAAATGCATTGTTAAGCTGTGAAGAGAAAAACAAAAGTTCTAAGAAACCAAAATCTAAATGAAAACACAAGTCCAGGCAGGCACTGAAAACTTAAAAAAAAAAAAAAACTCAAGAGGCCAATTGTTGGCAAGCATGTGGAACAGCAGGAACTCTTTAAGCTGCTGCTGGTGGTGGAGGCCAAGCCACTGTGCTCCCAGAACACGACACAGAACCCTCCACACTGAAGCAGAGCACAGGTGCCCTGGAGTCTCCACCCCACCCAGGGATCCCCCAGCAGAAGTGCGTGTGCCCCTGCATACCTGCAAGTCCCATATCCAGACCTAGTGTTCAGGGCCGTGGGATAACAGCCAAAAATAGGAAATCACTTTACTCATCAATGGAAAAATGGTGACACAGTCATATAATGGAACTCAACAATGACAATAAATCAGTATCTGCCATAGACAAGAACACAGATGTATTCTGTAATACTGAACCAAAGAAGCCAGGTTAAATAGAATATGCTGTATTTTATAGAAGTCAAAACCAGGTAGAACAAATCTACATCAGGAACTGGGAAAGTAGCTATTTTGTGGGTTGGGGCAGCAGTGCCTGGGAGAGGCCACAGGTCAAGGCTACTGCTTGGTCCAGGGCGTGGCAGCCTGGTGTGCTATAGTTCATCTAGATGCACACTTATGATTTGGGCACTCTTCTGTATGGACATTAACATTTCAATAAAAAGCTTATTAAAACATTAAAGCTTTCAGAAAAATCCACATTGCTTCAGTAGAAATTAGCACATTAACATTTAAAAAAATACATGTATACGGTGGGGGAAAAAATAGTTCAAAAGAGTACCCAGTGAAAAGTTTAAGAGGGAGTGACGCCAGCAAGGGGCTGATCAATAGCCCCTTGCACTCATCCCCTGACAAAGACAGCCAAAGCAGCAAACAACTATATTTTGATGAAAGTCACTAAAAGAGAGCCCCAGAGTGCATCAAGGAGTAGCAGAAATCCAGTAGAGCACAGAAAACCAGGATGGTCACATAAAGGAGGGAAGGAAACATCTGGCCCCCACCACCCATTCCCCCAGAGGGATCAGCCTGAAGCAGAGGGGATGTCTCCCTGCAGGGATAAGGAAGCAAGAGGGGCCCAGTAGCCCCAGCACTCCCCTCAGAGAAGGAACTGACATTGTGCCCCACCCCCATGGACCAGCTGCTGCTGCAACGTGCCCTCCTGGACCTGGACCACTTCGGGAGCATGTCCCACCCAGGGTGAGCAGCCACCGCACCCTTCTTCCATCCTCAGGCTTTGTTGCTCTATATCACACCCACCTAGTGGCCCACCACCCCCGAGCCACTGTTACACTGTCTTAGGCCATTTAGTGTGGCTGTAACAGAATACTTGAGACTAGGGGTAACTTATTTTATAAAAAAGGTTTATTTGGCTCACCCTGCTTGTGTCTGAAAAGTCCGAGATCGGGCAGCACAACTGGCGAGGGTCTTGTGCTGCTTCATCTCATGGGGAAAGTGGAAGGCGAAACAGGTGTATGCAAGGGGCTCACATGGCAAGAGAGGAAACACGAGAGTCTAGGAAGCTGAACTCACTCTGATAACAATCCACTCCTGGTAACTAATCCAGTCCCATGAAAAGGCATTAATCTATTCATAAAGGATCTGCCCTGTGACCCAAATACCTCCCACTAGGCCCCACCTCCCACACCACCACATTTGGAATCAAATTTCAAATGGATGAAATTTCAAATGGCTGGTGGGAACAAATGATGTCCACATCACAGCATACACCGCACCTGCGGGGCCACACTGCTGTGCCCCTCCCCTCCCAGCTGCCATTGTGCCCTGCCCCTTGGAGCCTGAGCTGACTTGGTGCCCTGCTTTCCAGGGAATCAGTGCCTTGGCCAGTCTGAGCAGTCACACCCCCCACTGCACGAGAGCTGAAGCACTGCCCTGCTTCACAGGGAATCAGTGTCTTGGCTGAGCTGAGCAGCCACACCTGCCAGGGATGAGCCAACATGGCACCCCCATATCCCGGGAAAACAGCATTGGCTGAACTGGGGTACCTTGCCCTTCAGGACAAACAACTGTAGAACCCTGCTTCCTTGGAACTGGACTAGCCCTGGAGAATCTGAGTTGCCCAGGCACCTGCCTCCCCAGGGAGAGAAGTAGTTGCTGCACTGGTCCCTGCCCCCGAGGGCCCAAGCCACAGTCGTGCTCCACCATTCTGGGGTCCTTGTTGATGCTGCGCCTGGTCTCACAGAGACTGAGGTGCTGCTGTGTCCCATCACTGCAGGGTCCAGCGTCACTATCATGTCACTCCCATGTCCAGAGTCACTCCCATCCCCTGGAGTTTACTTCTTAAACTCTTCGCAAAAACAGAGCGAGAGGAAATAATTCCAAACACATTTTACCGGGCCAGTATCACCTTAATACCTAAGCCAAACCAAAACACACACACACACACACACACCAAACAAACAAAAACTACAGGTCAACTTCTCCAATAAATTAAACACTGATGCAAACATCCTAAAAAATTTTTAGCAAATAGAATTCAACAACACATCGAAAACATTATACATCGTGTTTAAGTGGGATTTACCCCTGGCATGCAAGGCTGGTTAAAACTATGTAAATCAATCAATGTGATATATCACATTAACAAAATGAAAGATAAAACGACATGGTCACCTCAATTGATGCAGTAAAAGCATTTAACAAAGTTTAGCAACCTTTCTTGATAAAACCTCTTAATAGTTTATGTATAGAAGGAAAGTTCCTCAACATAATAAAGACCATTTATGAAAAAAACAGTCTAATCATAGTTAGTGGGGAACAACTAAAGCTTTTCCACTAAGATTGAGTACAAGATAGGGATGGCCAGCCTCATCACTTTTATTCAGTAGAGTACTTGCAAGAGCAATCAGATGAGAAAAAAAAAGGCAACTAAATTAAAGAAGTAAAATTATCTCTATTTGCAGATGACAAGATCCTTTACGCAAAAAACTCCAAAGATTCCACAAAAAACTGTGAGAACTACTAAATCAATTTAGTTAAGCTGCAAGGTATAAACTCAACATATAAAAATCAGTTGCATTTCTATATACAAATAACCTAGCTGACGAAGCAATCAAGAAAATAATCTCATTTACGATAGCATCAAAGAAAAACAAAAACTTAGGAATAAATTTAACCAAGAAGGTGAGAGATGTGTACACTTGAAAACCATAAAACATTGATGAAAGAAATTTAGACATGAACAAATGGAAAGACATCCTATGTTTATGGATCAGAAGAATTAATATTGTTAAAATGTTCACACTACCCAAAGCAAATATACAGATTTAACACAATCCTCATCAAAGTTCTGATGGTATTCTTCACAGAACAGAATAAAACAATCCTGGCCAGGCACAGTGGCTCACGCCTGTAATTCCAGCACTTTGGGAGACTGCAGGTGGGCGGATCACAAGGTCAGGAGTTGGAGACCAGCCTGGCCAACATAGTGAAACCCTGTCTCTACTAAAACTACAAAAATTGGCCTGGCATAGTGCCATGTGCCTGTAGTCCCAGCTACCTGGGAGGCTGAGGCAGAAGAATTGCTTGAATCCAGGAGGCAGAGGTTTCAGTGAGCCGAGATTATGCCACTGCACTCCAGCTTGGGCGACAGAGTGAGACTTTGCCTCAAAAAAAAAAAAAAAAAAGAAAAGAAAAAACAATCCTGAAACTCATATGGAACCACAAAAAACCCCAAACAGCCAACAGATTACTGTGAAAGAAAAAGTTGGAGGCATCACACCTCTTGATTTAAAATTGTATTACAAAGCTATTGTAATCAAAACAGTATGGTGCTGGTATAAAAACAAAAAAATAGACAAATGGAACAGAACAGAGACCTTTGAAATAAATCCAAACATATACTGTCAACTAATTTTTGACAAGGGCAAACAAGACAACACAATGGTAAAAAAGATAGTCTCTTCAATAATAGGATTTTCACATGCAAAAGAATAAAATTGGACCCTGATCATACACCATACACAAAAATCAACTCAAAACAGATACAAGACCAAAGACCCAAATAAGACCTGAAACCATAAAACTCCTAGAAGAAAACATAGGGGGAAAGCCTCTTGACATTGGCCTTAGCAATAATTTTTTGGATATTGCACCACAAGCCAGGATACAAATGTAAACATAAACAAGAAGGACTGCATCAAACTAAAAAGCTTCTGCACAGCAAAGGCACAACCAACAAAATGAAAGGGGAACCTACAGACTGGAAGAAATATTTGCAAACTACATATCTGATAAAGTGTTAATATCCAAAAATCAGTAAAGAACTCTTACAACTTAATAGTAGAAAAACAACCCAGTTGAAAAATGGGCCAAATAGGAAATGACCAATAGGAAATGGGGAGATGTACATTAAAATAATACAAAGTAGCAGACATGTAGGATGAACAAGTTAGAGATCTAGTGTACATCATGAGGGCTATAGTTAATAAAAATATATTGTCTTTGGGATTTTTGTTAAATAAGTAGATTTTAGCTGTTCCTGTCACACAAACAAAAATCTAACTATGTGAGATGGTAGCTATGTTAATTTGCTTCACTACAGTAACCAGTTTACTATCTATATGTATCTTTTAAGATCATATTGTCAACCTCAAATATATAAAATAAAATTTATTTTAAAAAAGAAAAGTTTGTCTTCAATCCAGAAAGAACCACTATTACCCTTTTTTGGTGTTCCATTCCAAAATATCCCACAAATATACAATTGTTCAATCAAATTTAATGTTAGACTTTATACTCGAATATTCAAAGTACATAAGAAATTATAGAAAAGTGTCTGTGTGACTCCCTGTCTGTAGAGCACAGCCTTCATCTCCACTAACACACACACGACCAGTACCTTATACAGAGAGTCCTTGTTTGCCTTTAGTCTGACACCATGGGTGAGCCTGAGTTGGCCCGTGGTCCACGTTCTTGACCAGGTGTCCTTCTCACCCACTGGTTTCAACAAAGATGTTACTGGGTTATAGAAGGCTGGGATGGAAACAGGATACCAAGTTCGCGTGAAGACAATATCCGAAAAGAGGTAATTTACTTCAACATTTTCAAAGGAAGATTCATATCCATACTGCAAAGAAACAAAAGAACAAAACCTTCACTCCAAACTTCTCTACCTGGCTGCAAAGTATTTGAAGGGAAAGCTCGCTAAGGAAACTATTCTCATAGATCACAGAACTGTTACTGGGTGTGGCCAGGGGACTGCAGACACAAAGCGAATGGGCACACCGCATAAGACTGGGAGATCTAAGGCTGGAGCTGCTCAACTCTCTGGAGACCTGACTCCAGCCTCTCGTCACACTGGCTAGAAGTCAAGCATGAATGGTAATACCCTGCCCTGAACACTACTTAAGACACTCACCGCTCATCAGCAGCTTATCCTCAAAGCTGGCCTGGAAAGCTCCTTCTGGAGCTCAGAGTGCTTTCTTGATCTGCCCCCTTATCCCACTGACAGTTTGAATCACAGCACCTTCAAATTTGGCCACTTCCAAGGCAGAATTAAATATTCCCTACAGGTATAGCAAGATAAACACACACACACACACACACACACACACAATCATATACTTTATGCTTTACTTCTTACTTCAAACATACATCCTTGATTAAAGAACAAAAACAACTCACTGAAGGGTGATAAAATAATCAAAATGTATTTGCCCCTGAAAGTGGAATTACTACCTCAAAAAGAATACAACTCTTTCATTTTCCCCAAAATAATCATGTGAGTTCATGGGCATGCTCATCACTGCTGTCTGTGTGGAAGAGAAGATCGAAGAGGGATTTACTGGACTGAACTGGCCTAGGAAGCCTTTGCTGGCATCTCTCAGACTGGACTGCAGCCCAGATCCTTTTACTTAGATGCATGCACTTAGAACATGAAAACAGTAAGATAAACGCCGGTGGTATTATTACTTTATATTCCAATAACATTTTAAGACTTCCTAACTCTGTGTTTTCAATAGAAACATCCCCACTAATGAAATTGTCAATATATGTGCTCAAACCACCCTCCCCAAATACTGAAAAACAGTACATCCGTTTCTCTGTACCCTTGCCAAGTTGTCTGCAAATGCTTTGTCAATTTTTCTACTGAGTTAGACAAACTTGTGATTTTTTTCCCTTTCTTAACACAAATTTAAAAAGTAGGAAACAAAACCTAGTGCATAAAATGACATATTTTCAATATGAGTTATGTGGCAGTCTCACATGGAAGTCAGGAGTAACAGCCTCAATTCCTAAATAGCTGTTTACCTCTGCTTTTTTGAGCATATTTAAGTAATACAGAATATAAAGGAGCAAACAAAATATGAAGTTTATAAAAGATTTCAAACACTTTTCTAAAAATATGAGGCCCATATTTTAGATGTATTTCATTCCTTTTCTCAAATAATATGGACATTTATAAATATGAGAATATATAGATATACAGACCTTAATAAATGAAGTGTTCTTGAAAATTTTATATGGAAAACCAGTTGGCTTTAATTTCTTCACAATTTTTATGGATTTATCCAGATCAAGGACAACTCCTGTGGCAGCTATGCGAAAATCAGGCTAACAGGAACCCCAAAATTTGAAAATAGGAAAAATATTAGCAAGAGAAAAACTTCAATTCTATTTGACACAATAAATTACCAAAGTGAATTTTACTTACAATTAGCTAAGAAAAACAAGAGAGACCATCTGAACTTGCAACCCAGTGGTTTGACAAAAGCAATCCAAAACTTTAAAGTTGGTAAGCCAAACTAACAAGAGTGACTTGAGGCCGGGCACAGTGGCTCATACCTGTAATCCCAGCACTTTGGGAGGCCAAGGCAGGTGGATCACCTGAGGTCAGAAGGTTGAAACCAGTCTGGCCAACATGGCTAAATCCCGTCTCTACTAAAAATACAAAAATTAGCTCAGCATGATGGTGCACACCTGTAATTCCAGCTACTCGGGAGGCTGAGGCAGGAGAACCACTTAAACCCAGGAGGCAGAGGTTGCAGCGAGCCAAGATCATGCCACTGCACTCCAGCCTGGACGACAGAGTGTGACTCTCTCAAAAAAAAAAAAAAAAAAAAAAAAAAAAAAAAAAAAAAAAGGCTACTTGAGTACTTTCCTGAGAGTGATTTCAGAGGAATGTAATTTTACTATAATGATTTATTTGGAACGAAATGGAAAAGAAAAATACAGTTGCAATGTTTAGGAAACTAAAATTTGGACCTCCAGGGAAGATTCCATCTGCTCATTATTCTGCTTCCTTCTCTGTTAAATGGGACCAGTAAACCCTGCCCTGCCTGACTGGTCAAATGAAAATGGAGTGAACAGACTGCTACCCCAGCACAGCTGCAGGGAGTCTTGTATCTGGGTGGTCTCTGATGGCTCCTCACAACCTCATATAGTGCTTAGCACATGGTGAGCACTGCTTAAGTATCTCCTTAGATAAATAAATGCAAAAGATGCACAAAAATAGGAAATGTACCATCATAATTCTTCCACCTCCCCTCCTCTAATCCCACACCCTACTGAAAAGGATGTACAAAGATTAAAAGCAAAGGGAAATTTACTTTATATTAATAAAAATGTGTAATTTTCAACTTAAAGTCTGATGTACATAATAACCCACATTCAGGATATATTTCTCAAACCAATCTGTAAAAGAAATCATCCAAGATAGTTACCATTATGCCACTGACAGACTGTATTGCCAAGAAACCAGTTCCCTGTGGAGTGACAGGGTCTTAAAGGAAAAGGAAAAAAAGAAATATAGCAAACCACAAATTTTAGATTCTAGTTTAACATACTGGATATGGACATTTAGATTTGGATATAGATTTACATATATACTCCAAACCACCTCCCTGCTCCCAGAAAAGAGAAAAATCTTAGGAGTGGAATTTTATGAAAGGAAAAGCAAAAAGCTAAAATAACACAGCCTGTAAGGTTTAATCTCGGCAATAGGCAAGTTATTGTAATCATATTTTACTCCAAAAGGCTGCTCCGCAATGCATGTGTTGTGGGGTATACTTTAGAAGCCTTTGTCTTCCATTATGGTCTTCGATATAATACAGCGGGATGGTCTGAAACCTCCTCCACCCTACAGAAAATATGATTGGATCTCGGGACTTGAGGATTTTCTTATACCAGCGATGTTTCTTCAGACGCATCTGAGGGGGATGAGAGTGTAAGATGATTGATGGAGGGGAAATCCACAGAGCCTCAGGCACCAAATATGCAGCAAAGGGACCCACCTGCACGTCTCCAACATTTCCCTCACTGTTGCCCAAGCCACCCAGGATAATGGGGTAATGGGGGTCAAAGTTCTGCACAAATTCACAGGGAACATTTTCAATCTCAACGCGGACGTACATCCCAGGTCGAAAACACTCATAAGGAACTCTGGCTTCATCATCTTGATCTTCAAATTCTGTGCGATTCAGCTGTACATGACGGGGGGAAAAAAACCTGTATGCTGTTATCTGTAATAAACATAGGATTAACATGAACAAATGAGCAATTTCTAAGTAAAGGAACTGTGGACAGAATTATGTAGGCTTTATCCTATTAAAAATACTACACATTTGGCCGGGTACAGTGGCTCATGCCTGTAATCCCAGCACTTTGGGAGGCTGAGGCGGGCAGATCACATGAGGTCAGGAGTTTGAAACCAGCCTCGCCAACATGGTGAAACCCCATATCTACTAAAAATACCAAAATCAGCTGGGTGTGGTAGTGCGTGCCTGTAGTCCCAGCTACTCAGGAGGCAGAGGTGAGAGAATCGCTTGAACCTGGGAGACGGAGGTTGCAGTGAGTCAAGATCATGCCACTGCACTCCAGCCTGGGCAATAGAGCGAGATTCCATCTCAAAAAACAAAAAAACAAAAAAAACCTACACATTTTACCTCTACAGTCTGTTCAGAATATGTCTCAACCGTTTTCTTCTCTCCTGCTACAAGGCACGGCAAATGTAGATAACTGTGGAGCCCTGCGTGCTTGAACACTGGAAACATCCCCAGTCCACACCTTCTTTCCTTCCTCTCCAAATAATTCTTTCACACTTTTCCCTTGTCTTCAAACACCCACCACCATCCTCACCTTCACTCAGCTGATGGCTGTTTCCTGATTCACTCCAAAACCAAAAGAACCTCTACGGTCAACCCTCTACCAGGGTTTCCTCCCATATCCAGCCTTATCAGAGCTCTGACCTGGCCCATAGAGGAGCTATGTGTGGCTATTTAAATTAAAATTAATTACAATTACATAATATTTAAAATGCAGTTCCTCAATCACACTAGTCACACTGGAAGCGGCCCATATCAACCTGCGGCCAGTGTTACAATATTGGGAAGCACAGACGTGCATCTCCATGATCACAGAAAGTTTTATGGGCAGCTCAGGCACAGATGATTTGTCCATGCCTCTACTCAGGGCCACACATCACTTGCTCACTAGACACCATCCACTCTTCCTGGACTTTATTCCAACAGCTCTTCCCTCTGTTCTCTCTCTTTTCTCAAAACCTTTTGATTCCACTTCTTCCACCAACAACTGCTTCATTTCTCTGCTTCTCTCTGCAGCAAAACCCCACAAAAGTTTTCTGCAGTTGCAGCCTCCAGTTCCTCTGCTCCCATTCTCCTACATCCATGAAAATTGGTGTTTGCCAAGATCGCTGAAGGCCTCCACGCTGAAGGACTCCTCCAGTGGTCAACTCTGCTTTCACCGTAGTTAACACAGCAGGGGATCTGAACGGTGCTTCGCCTCTGTGTACAACTGGACTCCTGTGTGCCTGCATGCTCACACTGCTTCTCCCTCTCCCTCCTAGGCACTGCTCAGGCCTCACGGCCGCAATCGCCCCATCTCGCCCATGCCAGTCTTGCTCCTCCCAGTCACTCTGCACTCACTCCCCGGCCACCTCACAGCGTTAAGTGGCATCTACATGCTGAGGGCTGTATATCTAAGTCCCTGGCCAGACCTGTCTCTCCAGACTTGACACTCCGCTTGTCTGCATGATACCCAGCCGAACCAAACATCATCTTCCCAAAACTACATCTGCAGAGGGTTTCCTATCTAACCTGCAACAACCCATCCTTCCAGGAACTTCCAGTCGCCATCCTCATTTCCTCTCACACACCCCACATTCAGTCCACCAGGAAATCCTGCTGAGCCAGCTTCCAAATAAACTCTATCCAGGTTTGACTCTTTGTCTCATCTCCACTGTCAGCCCTCTGGTTTGTGCCACCAGACTGATCTCTACCAGACTGATCTCTTGGCAGAGTGATCTGATTACCCGAATGTCTCTCTTCTGCTCAAAACCCTCCAAGGACTCCCATTTCAGAGTGAAACATTCAGTCTTTTCCAATGGCTCACAAGGCTCTGGGTAGTTTTAAATTGTAAATGGTGTGAAGCAAAAACTTCAGTTAGCCTAGTCATGCCTTTCAAAGGTCAACACAGACTAGCAACCACTAAGCTAATGCTTAATCAGGAAACAGTACTTTGACTAGATGAAGATCTAGGATGAAACTCCATTTCACAAATCATATACCTAATCTGTTCCAGCTTACACAGGCACTCCTGGCCTCGCTAACAAGACACAACTCAGATGCTTACCATCAACTGTACACATGTTTCTGTGTCTGTCTCCTTCAGAGTGAGATCACTGCCTCCAACAACCTGCTCAGCACCCCCAGGCAGGAGGGCCACACCATCTCCCTTATCTCCGCATCTGACCTTATACTCCACATGTCCTTCTGAACTCTGACCAGGATGAGTTTTCAGAGCACTTCCCCTGGGAGCTCTGGTGTGTCCATAAGCCACACAGGCCACTGATCACCTGCCACTCAAATCAGGGAGCAGCGATCAGAATAGGCAGCATTGGCTTGCACTGAAATGAACACACTGTCTCAGATCACTACATTGTAAAAGTCTCAAAAGTAGAGACCATGTTTCAGTCATTTCGGTTTCCTAATTCTTGTTACAAAATAGATATGGATCTTTTTCTGGTGACCTTCTGACTGTAGAAACAATGAGCTCACTGCATGAATAAACACACTCACATACATCTACCCAGGAGTCCAAATGAAAGGCACAGAAGCAGGATAGGAAGCAGGGACCCAAAGAAAGTCAGGGATTCCTGCACTATGTGACAGTCTTGACAAGGGGCTGAGAGGAACTGAGGTTTCTCACCTGTGCTTGTTTCTGCATTTCTCCTTTAAGATCATCAAAATATGTGCTTTCTCCTTCATCATATTCCTCATCAAACATCTCCTTCAATTTTCTCTTCTTATCCAAATGCTTTTTCTTGGCACTTTCTTCTTTGTCGGGGTCAATTTCTTCCTTGTTTCTCTATATCTTCATTCTTAAATTTCCAGAAGAAAAAATTTTGTGTATGTTTATGAAGGTCTTTTCTTTAAACATTAGATTTTTTAAAGTTCTATTTAAACAAAAATCTTAGCAAAAATCTGTTACCATTATCAATAAAACGAAACAAACCACAACACAACCTTTTTTCTCTGAATAACATGGTACTGCTACAGGAAATTGTTACATCTGCATTACAATTAGCTGCTATTCCTTAAGCTGGCTGGGAACACAAACTAGAATAAAAATAACAGACATGTCCCTCACCCAGATGTTCCCAGAACCTGTTCTAAAGAAATATTAGGGAGAACAGGGACTTCATTCATTTAAATGACACTTAAAATTAAAAAGAGGAGAATGATGGCAATGGTTGAATGTAAGTCTGAGAAGCTAAGACTTCTGTGAGTGAAAAATCACAGTGGACTTGGCAAATGACTATGGCAAGAAACAGTAGTAACTGTCATCCAAAACTTAACAAGTAAACAAGAAAGCTTCTCTTTGGTCCCCACATCCCCACCCTTTAGGAAGGAATCTATCCATCCAGTCTGCAATCTTCACACATCACAAGTAAGATTTGCATTTCTCAATGTGGGCCTCTCTCAGAACACAATGACCAAGAACAGCCAGCTACGACAAAGTCATACCTGAGTATCGGGGCCCGATTTTCCCTTGTGCACATCCCCTGTTTCCAAGTCTTCAAAGTCACCATAGAGCTCCTCTGGGAAAAGAACACCCAAAGGCTGCTCTGTGAGCCAGGCATGCATGTGCTGCTGGCCCCACCCACAACAGGCCCACAATGCGCTCCACGTTCCAAGCCTCATTCTCACTGTTCCCGTCACTACACACACAGGCAAAACTTTGCACTAGGGAATGCTTCGTAGAACAGTTAGTATTTCATCATCTGTTTAGGTAAACTAAATGGACCCAATCCACATTTCTGCACTTCATGTCAAAATCCCAATCTCAATTTTTCCAGTATAGATAATGGACACTCTTTTGTTTTTGTTTTTGTTTTTTAGGAGATGGAGTCTCACTCTGTCACTCAAGCTGGAATGCAGTGGCATGAACTCAGCTCAATGCAACCTCTGCCTCCCAGGTTCAAGCAATTCTACTACCTCAGTCTCCCGAGTAGCTGGGATTATAGGCACCCGCCACCAGGCCTGGCTAATTTTTGTATTTTTAGTAGAGAGGGAATTTCACCATATTGGCCAGGCTGGTCTCGAACTCCTGACCTCGTGGTCTGCCCTCCTCAGCCTCCCAAAGTGCTGGGATTACAGGCATGAGCCACTGCACCCGGCCAATGGACACTCTTTATGAAAGACACAGAGGTCTATCTGTGTCCCCCAAGCGAATAATTCAAAGAGTGAATGGAAAAGTCCCACGCTGATAACCAGCATATGTGAAAAGGAGTCTCAATGTAAGTTCAACACAACACAATCATGTAACACACCTAGGGGAAATTTTAGATTATATAAAACATAGCATTTAGATTAAGAGTAGAGCCCCAAACCACACCAAACCCATGGGAAGAGCTTATTCACTCATTCATTCCTTCATTTGTTGTTGGAGCTCTGGGCTCAATTATAATTCCCACTCTTAAAAGAAATAGACAGGTAAGGCTGGGTGCAGTGGCTCACACCTGTAAACCCAGCACTTTGGGGGCCCGGGAGGCAGAGGTTGCAGTGAGCCATAATTGCATCACTGAACTCCAGCCTGGGTGACAGAGTGAGACCCTGTCTCAAAAAAAGGAAAACAAAAGAAAGAGGCAAGTTAAAACTCATTTGGGAGAGCAATGTTTAGAAAGCTATTAAAACATTTTCACATAAGGGCCAAAGAACCAGGTAGACGTTATAAAAGATAGGAAGCTCCTATTTGTAATAAAAGCAAAAAAGGATAAAATAGGAATAAACCTCACAAGAAGTGCACTGGAACTTTATTTTTTTTAAAAAAAAGAAAAGCTTTAATATGCTACCAAAGGACAAAAGGAATAGCATCACTACCAACACTTGTAAGTGCTCTCCACACTAGGCACTGTGTTAAGTACTTTCCTTGCCTTAACCACATTCTTCAACCCAAGGAAGTAGGTGTTGTAAATATTATTTACTGAATAATGATATGTCCTCATTTGAAAAGAAAGACTCGACATCACAAATACGCCAATTCTCCCTTTAGCACAGTTACAACCCGAAACCACCACTAAGGATTTCTGGTCTAGAGAAGATAATACATTATACCCTCCTAAGAAATGTAACCCAAACTCTAGAAATAATAGACAGGAGATGATCAATGGAGAATTCCAAAAGGTGGACAGAAAAAGGCTGCTGAGGGACTCTAGGACTAGGGAATGCATAGTGGCCAGGTGTCTCCCTGGACCTCATCCAATAGGAAGGTGACCCAGGCCCAGAGTTTCCCAACTCCTAACGTAGCAATAGAAGGCAACCCAGGCAGACTCAGTCCCCGCAGATCAAAGGAGATCTTCCCCACAACAAGAAAACCAGCTCCACACACCAAGACAACCACCATTCCCCACCCATCTAGCTGCAGCAGGTGGCCCAGCCTGGGGCAGCTCCCCTGTTCCCTCAGGTGGGCAACAGCAGGGACTGGTGGGAGAATCCCAGTGATACATATAAGCCAAACAGACCAAAATAACACCATGAAGGCTCTGAAATTAAATTGCCATTGGAATCTCAGCCCACAAAGTAGACCAAGACCTACAGACTAAACCTAAACAGGAAGACTGCCTGCAAAAATAAAAAAAATTACATAGGCAGATGTTGGAACCATCTGACTCATCACTTATAACAGTCAGTATAAAAGTGCTTCAACAAGCAACTACAAATCCTACAGCAACAATCAAAGAACTGAAAACATCAGCAAAGAAACTGAAGAAGAATCAAATGGAAATTACAGAAATATGAAATACAGTAACAGAAATTTAAAAAAAATCTAACTGGATGGGCTCTATTGAGTAAAAGTGGAGACGACAGAGGAGAGAATCAGAGAAGCTGAAACCTGATCAACAGAATTCACCCAGCCTAAACAATAGATAGGAAATAACCTGAAAACAAATGAACAGAGCTGCACGGACCTGTGAGATGATAACAAAAGACCCCACATTTATGTTATCTGAGTCCCACAGGAGACCAGAGCTGCGAAAGCATGCAAATAACTAATTCCTGACACTTCCCACATTTGGTGAAAGATATAAACTTACAGATTCAAGAAGCTGAGCAAACCTCAAAGTATACCAAAAGAAAGCAACACTGATTAAACTCTCAAAACTAAAAACAAAGACCAAAAATGGCAGAATGCCTGTAGGGACACGCCAACTCAAATGCCATGGAGGCCAGAAGGAAGTGGCACAACATTTTCAAGTGCTTAAAAAAAAACAACCAAACAAAAAACCAACCAAACAAAAAAACTGTTGGCTGCAAATTCTATATCCCATGAAACTACCCTTCAGAAATGAAGAGAGAAATAAAGACATTCTGAGAGGAAGAGAATATAGGAATTTGTCACCGGTCAATTTAGAAATGCTAAAAAGTGGCTACAGAAATATGTTGTGTCATTTCCACAATACAAAAAATTAAAACAAAAAAATCAAAATAAAAAAATGGCTACAGAAAGTTCTTATGCAGAAGGGATGAATATGGGACTATGGGAGGAGGGACAAAGGAAAGACCAGAAATGTGGATACATACGCGAGACAATCCACAGTTCTTAAAATCACATTTGACGACTGAAACAAAAACTATACCACCACCTAATACTCAAGCCAGTGATTTATACAAGTGGAAAAGGTAAAGAGACATAAATGCAAGGCAGGTTTCCACACTTTGAAGTGGTAAATACTGGTACCAGTAGACTACTATATTACAATGCACATATTGTTAACATCCAGAGCAAACACTTTAAGACTATACAAAGAGATACACGCAACAACATTATACAGAAATAGATCAAGATGGAGGGAAAGAAAAAGGAAACAACAAAGCAAATAATAAAAACATCAGACATAAGCAATTATGTAACAATAAGCACCTTAAATGTAAATGGTCTAAATAAACCAAAAGACAGATTGATGGAGAGCCTATAATAAACACATGGTCCAACTAAATACTCTTCATAAGAAAATTCAAACTCACTTAAGGTCCTAAGTAGGTTGAAAGTAAAAGAATGGAGAAAGATATCCTGTGAAATCGTTAATTTTTTAAGGAAGCAGGAGTGAATATATTAATATCTCATGAAGTAGACTTCAAGCAAAATAATTTACCAGAGCTGGAGAGGGTCTTGGCTGAATTTTAAGATCTAAAATTTCCTATGCTGTCTTGACATCTTTGAGCCTCACAGGGCCCCAAAGGCCTAGCCATAGGTTTTCCTATTTCTACCAGACACCCCCTACCCGGCCACCCAACAGGAAAGGCTCCCCACCTGGCTAGTTCTTTTATCAGCCAGAACACTTGCACCTCAGCCTAAAAAGTTTCACTTCACCTGTCTGCCAGCCCATGAATTTATTCAAACAAGCCAATTGCATGCCCCCTCGGGAACCATTGGTCATTGTGTGCTCTTGTTACTACCAAGCCTGCCTGCTTCCTCAGCCCGCAGCCCTCACTCCAATACAGAGTGCGGTGCCCATCTGACCCTGTGTGGCATGCAGTGTCCTCCTCTGAGCTGTGGGTATATGTGACTAAAACACTGCTGTCAATCTCATCCATCCACGCCAGGCGTCGTGTTCAGCCATCTCCTACACTTTAGGGCAGGGACCCCTCCTTCACCAATGGGGTGAAAAGGAAGTGACCCTAACAACTGCTTAATGACAAAAGGATTAACCCACCAAGAAGACATCTACTTCAACATCCTCCTCTTAGCAACTGTTAAAACTAGGCAGAGGCCGGGCACAGTGGCTCACGCCTGTAATACCAGAACTCTGGGAGGCAAAGACAAAGGATAGCTTGAGGCCAGGAGTTCGAGCCTGGGCAACATAGCAAGGCCTCATCTCTCCAAAAAATTTTAAATTTAGCCAGGTGTGGCGGCACACACCTATAGTACCAGCTACTCAGGAGGTTAAGCCAGGGGAAGTACTTGAGCCTAGGAAGTCAAGGCTGCAGGGAGTCTTGTTCGTGCCACCGCACTCTAGTGTAAGTGACAGAGTGAAACTAGGCAGAAAAGGAGCAAGGATTTACAAAAGATCTGAACAGTTCAACCAGCAAAATCTGACATCCGTATAACACCCCACTCCCCAACAGCAAAACACACACATTTTTAAAGCCAATAGAAATCTACCAAGATGAAGTACATTTGGGGCAATAAAAGAAATCACAGCAAATCTCGCTGTGCGGCCCTCGGCGCCAGCGCCGTGCGCCTCTCTGCGCCTTGTTTTCTCACCACGGGGAAGCATTTGGGGGCCTCTTGAGGGACCCCCTAGATGCTTCTACTCAGAGCCCCCAAAGCCGGGGAGCCTCCACTCCTCTGTCTGCAGCCTCCCCTGTCGGTTCTCGCTACCCAGGGTTCAGTGGCCTGGGGGCTGACGGAGGGGGTCGCCTCTGCCAAGGCCCCTTCCGGCGCCTCCCTGGCTCATCCAGCCCACCTCCCTCCCACGCTGGCTTACGCAAAGTGCTCTGGTCACCAGGAGCCCTTCCTGACCAGCCCCGGCACCTCCTTGGCCTTCGCCCCACCTGGCCTCCCCTGGAGCCCTGACCTGGGTGCAGGGCCTACTGGGTCCAGAGCCCACCCCGCCCTGAACAACCCCGAGTCTCAGCCACCCTCAGTTCTTACCCTTTCACAGCTGGGGAGTGGAGCCTGGGCCTGCGCCGGCGCCGTGGGCCTCTCCGCCGCGCCCGCGCTGTCCGCTTCTCCGCCGCTGTCCGCCTCTCCGCCGCGCCCGCGCTGTCCGCTTCTCCGCCGCGCCGGCGCTGGCGCTGTGTGCCTTTGCCAGGGCGAAGCTGCGTTCTCCTCAACACAGACCCGAAGAGCATCGTGAGCGCGGAGCTGAGTTCTACTCTGCACAGACTTCGGAGATACAGCGAAGGCAGAGCAGTGTTCCCTCAGCACAAACCCGGGCGGGCGGGCCGGTGGCACCGTGAGGGTGGAGCTGCGTTCTGCTCTGCACAGACCTTGGGGGCACTGCCTCGCTTTGGGACAACTCGGGGCCACATCGAGGGTGAATAAAATCCTTCCTGTTTGTAGCCCTGTTTGCGGTTGGTGGCAGCGATGGACGCTGCAGCCAGCCAGAGCGTAGAAAGGCGTCGGAGTAAGTGCGCTATCCAGGCTGCACTGCGGGTGGCCTGGGACGGGTTGGGAGCCCTATCTCAGGCGTCACTGCCTGTCCTGGGTGGCTGTTTGGGTGTGCTATCTGGGGCTGTGCTGCCTGCACCAGGGGGGGTGGTTTGGGGGCCCAAACCGGGGCTGCACTGCCTTTGGCGGGGAGCCGGTTGGGGGCACTATCCCAGACTGTATTGCTGGCAACAGTGAGGTGGGCTAAGTGTGCTATCGGGGGCTGCGCTGTGCGGCTGTGGGGGGTTGGCGGTTTCGGGTCGAGGGCGCTATGGGGTGCTGTAATGCCCATGGTGCGGGGAGGCCAGGCAGTTTGGGTATGTTGGGTGTGGTATTGGGGGGGGCTACACTGAAGGTGGTAGAGGGCAGGGTGGGTTGGGGGCCATATCAGGGACTGCACTGATTGCTTTAGCTAGGATTTCTGGTACTATGTTAAACAACAGTGGTGACAGGGGGCATCCTTATCATGTTCCAGATCTTAGAGGAAAAACTTTCCATTTTTCCCCATTCCATATGATTCTAGCTGTGGGTGTCTTTCCTATAGTTTTTATTATGTTGCGGTATGTTTCTTCTGTGCCCGTTTATTTGAAGATTTGTAGCATGAAGGGATGTTGAATTTCATCAAATGCTTTTTCAGTTTCAGTTGACGTGATCATACTGTTTTTGTGGTTTATTTGGTTGATATGACATATCACATTGTATGTTGAGTGACCCTTGCATCCCAGGGATACATCTCACTTGATCATGATGAATTATCTTTTTAATGTATTACTGAATTTGATTCACTGGTATTTTGTTGAGGATTTTTGTATCAATGTTAGAGATACTGGCCTGTAGTTTCCTTCTTTGATGCCTTTGTCTGATTTTGGTATCACAGTAATAATGGTCTCATAGAATAAGTTTGGAAGTATTCCCTCCTGTTTTTCAAAATAGTTTGAGCAGGATTCGTACTAGGTCTTTAAATTGTTTGGTGTGAAGCCATCAGCAGTGAAGACATCAGTTCCTGGGCTTTTCTTTACTGGGAGACTTTTTCTGATGGCTTCAATCTCATTACTTGTTACCAATCTGTTCTGGTCTTGGATGTTTTCATTGTTTGACCTAAGTAGGTTGTATGCATCTAGGAATTTGCCAATTTCTACTAGGCTTTCCAATTTATTGGCATGTAATAGCCAGTTATGATCCTTTAAATTTCTGAAGTATTAGTTGTAATGTCTCCTTTTTTTAATCTGTTGATTTTATTTATTTGAATCTTGTCTCTTTTCTTAGCCTGGTTAAAAGTTTGTCAATTTTGTTTAGCTTTCCAGAAAACCAGCTTTTCGTTTAATCTTCTGTGTTTTTTCTTTCAATTTTATTTCTGCTACGATCTTATTTATTTTATTAATTTCAGTTTAGTTTGTTCTTACTTTACTAGTTCTTTAAGATGTATTGTTTATTTGAAGTTTTTCTTTTGTTTGGATGGTAGGCACTTATAGCTATAAATCTCTGCCTTTGTACTGCTTTCTGCGTAACAAGTTTTGGTATCCTGTGTTTTCATTACCCTTTGTTTCATGAAATTTTTGAATTTCTGTCTTAGTATCTTCATTGACCTGCTAGTCATTTATTCAGGAGAGTAGTGCTTAACTTCCATGTGATTGTATTGTTTCCAAAATTACTCTTCTTATTGATACCTAGTTTTATTCCTAGTAGTCAAAGAAGATGGCCACGGAGACAGCAGCGTGGTCAGAGTGGTAGGAGCCGGCCATCAGCGAGAGCTGCTCCATGCCTGGCTGCTGGGTGCTAGAGCCTGTGGCCCGCTGGCTTGCCTCACTGTGGTTGGTGGTGGTGGTGACAGAGACTGCAGCACGACCAGAGTGGTAGGACAGGGACTATCCAGGGCTGCACCTTTCGCAGTGTGGGGTGGGTTGGTGGTGCTATCCAGGGTGTCATTGCCTGCATTAGGGGTACTGGTTGGTAGCACTGTACAGGGCTGCACTTCCCACGGCAGAGACAGTGGGTTATGGGTGCTTTCTGGGGCTACAATGCCCATGGAGGAGGACAGGTTAGGGCACTATCAGGTATACGCTACTGGCGGTATTGGGGGACCGAGGTGGGGGCGCTATTGAGGGCAGGACTAGCTGTGGAGGGGGGGCGAGTTCGGTGCTATCAGGGGCTGCACTGCTGGCAGCAGTCAGGAGAGTTGGCATCCAAGGAAGGAGTGGTTCTCCTCTCCCTGACTCCACACTCCAGAGGGCGACCCACTCTTGGTCATATTGGAGTGCAGCAGGGCACCACAGCATTTGCGTGGGAATCCTGAGCATGGCAGAGCCCCCACACCCACTGTGGTTCCTGGGCCTGTGCACTCTGGGTCTGTGCCTCAGAGGCTGCCAGGCACCCCTGGGGACACCACGGGGGACAGGGCCCTGTGTGTGGAGGCGTCTGGAACAGGAATTGGCACCTGGGTGCAGAGGGCTGGCTGGGTCTGAATTTTTCTGCTTCTCCTGCTCCCCGAGGAGTGCAGCCCCGGTGGGCCCAATGGTTCCTGTGGAGTGGGGAGCTGGGTGCTGTGGTGTCTCCAGCACCCTCCCCAGACCCCAGTTCCTGGCCAGCTTGGGCCAAAAGGAGAGGCTGGACTTTGGAGGGTGGGTGTGAGTGCCTTTGCTGAAACTGGCCCCTGCCACCCAGTGGCCAGCATGACAAGTTGAGGCTCTAACCCTTCCACCCCTCACATCTTCCTCTAGGCTTTTCTGGCTTTGCCCACCCAGCTGCTCCATGCCAGGAGGAGGAGGAGACACCTAGAGCCTGCGACACCACGACTTGCCTCACTGCGGGTGGGTGGCAGCGACAGAGACTGCAGTGCGCCAGAGCGGTAGGAGAGCGGCCGCGCTAGGAGGGCAGGCGGCTGCAGCCAGGGTTGGGGGTCAGGCTTACAGCCATGGACGGGCTGCAGCAGTGGCCAGGTGGTAGGAGCCTTGTAGGGAAGGCTGGTGCATTGGCAATGGGCCTGGCTTTTCCCTGCCCCTGCCATGGATTTGGCCCTGTACTGCCCTGCCTTGCCCTGTACCTGCCCTACTGTTACCTGGACTCTCGGCCCTGTCCTGCTCTGGTCCCATCCTGACTCTGTCTTGGCCCTGTGCTACCCTGTCCCTGCCCTGGTCTTACCCTGGCACTGGCTGTGCCCTGAACCTGCACTGGCCTGACCTTGGCTCTGGCCCTGGCTCTGGCCCTGCCCCTTGTCCTGACCCTGGTCCTGTTGTGGCACTGGCCCTGCCAATGGTCATGGTCCTGCTCCTGTTCTGGCCCTGACCTGGCCTTGGACATATCCTGGCCCTGCTTTGGCCCATCCCTGCCCTGGCCCCACCATGGGCCTGCCTTTTCTGCCCTCTCCTGGCACTGACCTTGCCCTGTCATGGCCCAGTGGTGCCATTGCCCTGCCTTACCCTGCACTGGTTGTGCCTTGGCCCCGCTTGGTGCTGGCCGCTCCCTGGACCTGCCGTGACCCTGCCTTGGCTTTTGACCTGCCCTCACTATGGCCTGTCCCTGGCCCTAGCCCTGGTCCTGGCATATCCCTGGCCCTACCCTTATCCAGGCCCTGCCCCTGCTGCTGCCCTGGCCCTGGCCTGGAACCTGGTCCTGTCAAGGACCTGCCCTGACTCTGCCATGGCCCTGGCCCTGCTCTGCCTTGTTCCTGGCCCTGACCCAGACCCAGACCCTTTCCTGTCTCTGCACTGGCCTTTCCCTGGCCCTGAGCTGGCAGTGGTCTGCCCCTGGTCTTGCCATCACCCTGCCCTGCTGTGCTCTGGATGTGTCATCCCCCTGCCCTGGCCCTACTCTGCCTTTGACCCTGCCCTGGCCTTACCTTGGCCCTCACCCTAGTCTTCATTAGGCCCTGCTCTGGAGCTGGCCCTAGCACAGACCTGGCCCTGACCCTGGCTCTGGTCTTTGTCCTGCCATAGCCCTGGCCCTGAAGTGGACTTGGAGGTGTCCTGGCCCTGGCATGACATGGCTCTGCATTGGCCTGTCCCTGCCCTGCCACTACCATCGCCTTTCCCTGCTCTGCCCTGTCCCAGTACTGACCTGGCCATGCTATTTCCCTGCCATACCCTGCCTTGGCTGTGCCCTGCCTCGGTTCTGGCCCTGGCCCCGGCCCTGCCCTGGACATGCTCTGACACTGCCTCAGCCTTGGCACTAGCCTGGCTCTTTCTTGGCATCAGCCCTGCTCTCTCTGTGGACCGGCTCTTGTCCTGTCCTGCACTGGCCATACCATGCCCTGCCCTGCCCTGCCCTGACTCAGCCCTGGCTCAGCCCTGGCCAGCCTTGGCTTTGGCATTGCCCCTAGTCCTGCCATATTTCTTGCCCTGTCCCTACCCTGGCCTTGGCCCTGACCCTTACCTTGCTCTGGCCCTGCCTTTGCCCTAACACAGCCCCTGGACCTGTCCTGGCCCTGGCCCTTCCCTGCTTGAGACCTTGCCCTGGTTCTCCTCTGGCCCTGACCCTGAAATGCCTGGCCCTTCCCTGGCCTTGCACTGCTCTGGCGCTTGCCCTGACTCTGGTCCTGTCACTGGCCTAGCCCCAGCCCTGTTGCTGGTCTTACCATGGCCCAGACCCTGCCTTGGCCCTGCCCTGACACTGTCCTGGACCCTGGCTGTGCCAAGAACCTGCACTGTCCTTGCCTTTGTTTTGCTCCTGCCCCAAACCTGGTCCTGCCCAGGCCATGGCCATGGCCCTAGCCCTGGCCCTGGCCCTGGCCCTGACCCTGACCTGGCTGTTCCCTGGCCCTGCCCAGGTCTTGGCACTGGCCTGGCCCTGCCCTGCCTTGGCCCTATGCTTTCCTGGCCCTGCCTTGGCCCTAGCCTGGCTTCGACCCTGCCCTGGCCATACCTTGGCCTTCACCCTAGCCTTCCCTCGGCACTGTGTTGGACCTGGCCATAGCACAGACTTGGCTGTGGTCCTGGCCCTGCCATGACCCTGTCCCAGACCCTAGCCCTGCCAGGTACCTGTCCTGGCCCTGTTCTGGGCCTGGCTTTGTCCCTGGTTCTCAGATGACCCTGACCCTGCTTCTGCCCTTGCCCTTGCCCTGGCACTGGCCTTGGACATGTCCGTGGTCCTAACCCTGGCCCTGCCCGGGAGCTGCCACTGTCTCGGCCCTGCCCTGGCTCTGGCCCTGCCCCAGCTCTGGCCCTGCCCTGGCCCTGGCCCTGCCCTGGACCCAGCCATAGACCTGCCCTGGTTGGTCGTGTCCTACCTTAACCCTGTGCTACCCTGGACCTGCTCCACCCTGCCCTCCGTTTGGCCCTGCCCTGACCCCACCTTGGCCCACACACTGGCCCTAGCACAGACCTGGTCCTATCTGTGGCCTTGGCCTGGCATTGGCCCCTGCTCCTGACCCTGGTCCTGCCATGGCCCTGACGGCCCTGGCCCTGACCCTGTCTTGGCCCTGGCCCTGAACTGGCCCTGCCCTGACCCTGGCCCTGAAGTGGATTTGCAGGTGTCTTGTCCCTGAGTTAACCTGGTCCTACCATGGCCCTGTCCCTCTCCTGTCTCTGTCCTGGTCTTGTGCTGACCCTGACCCAGACCTTGGCCCTGCCCCAGCCTTGTCCTAGATCTGGCCATGGCCCTGCCTCTGCCCTGGACCGGCGCTGGCACTGGCATGGACCCCCTGGCCCTGGCCCTTCGCTACTTAAGGCCATACCCTGGCCCAGCCCTGATCCTGACCCTGTCCTGGCCCTAATTTGGCCTGGCTCTACCCTGGCATGCTATTCTGGCCCTAGCCCTGACCCTGTCCCTGTCCCTGTCCTGGCCCTAGCCCCGTTGCTGGTCCTCCCATGGTCCTTGTCCTGACATTGCCCTTTCCTGGTCCTGGCCCTGGCCCTGGCCCTATCCCAGCCCTGGTCTGGCCCGGGTCTGAACTCTGGCCCTGCAATGGACCTGCCTTGGTCCTGCCCATACCCTGGTTCTGGCCCTACCTCTGCCCCGGCCATACCTTTGCCCTGGCCTGGACCCCGGTACTGGTCCTTGTCCTGCCCCAGCCGTGGCCCCAGCCCCGCCCTGCCTGTGCCCTGTTCTATCCTGGGCTGGCCCTGCCATGGCCTGGTCTTGCCATTGCCCTGCCCTAGCCTGCCCCGCTTGTGCCCTAGATCTGCCCCGACCTTTGCCCCTGTCTTGGTTCCAGCCTTGACTCAGCCCTGGACCTTCCCTGACCTTGCCTCAGCCCTGGCACTACCCTGGCCTTGGCTTGGCTTTGCCCTACTCTCTCTATGGCCTGGCTCTGGTCCCGCCCTGCTCTTGTTCTGTCCTGGCACAGCCCTGGCCCTGGCCCTGCCGTATCACTGGCTCTGGTCCTGCCCTTATGCAGGCCTAACCCTGCCCCTGCCTTGGCTTTGGCCTGGACCTTGGCTGTACAGTGACCCTGTCATGACCCTTTCCTGGCCCTGGCCCTGGCCTGGAACCTGGCCCTGCCAAGGACTCGCCCTGGCTCTGTCATGGCCCTGGCCCTTTCCTGGATTTGGATGTGTCCTGTCCCTTATTTGCCCCGGCCCTTCCCTGGCTCTGCCATACCCCTTCTCTGGGGTAGGGCCAGGGTCAGGACCAGGGTAGGGCCATGGTAAGTCCTGAAGATGGGAAGGGCCGGGGCAGCGGCAGGACCAGGGAAGGGTCAGGGCCAGGGATGTGGTAGGACTAGGGGCAGAGCCGGCACTAGGGCTGAGCCGGGGCAAAGCAGGAGAGATTACATTAGGCTATTATGTAAAATGTTTATTTTAGATTTTTAAGATAACTATAGTAGTAGTAATAATGTCTATACTATGTTGTTTGTAATAGTAATAATATTTGCAGTAAATAATCACTAAATTTTAACTAATACTATTTGTGCTTCCAGTACTGTTCTATGAGTATAATTTTATCAATATGTAAATTTGTGAGGCATTGATTCTCACAATAATTCTATGTGCTAGGTACTTAAACCATCCCCATTTTCCAAATGTAGGAAACAGGCATAAAGAAGTTAAATACTTGGCCAGATTACTCCAGTAATCCCAGCACTTTGGGAGGCCAAGGCAGGCAGATGGCTTGAGCTCAGGAGTTTGGAACCAGCCTGGGCAACATTGTGAAACCCCATCTCTACTAAAAATGCACAAAAAGAACTGATTTAAGTTTCTTGTAGGATTCTGGTTATAAAACACTGGTAAAATACACAGGGCATGGACAGGGCAGGGCCAGGGACAAGGTCAGGCCAGGAAGGGGCCAGGGCCAAGGCAGGGCCAGAGCTGGACTTGGAGGTGTCCTAGTCTGATTTGCCCTGCCCCAACGTTGATATCTTAAAACTTCATTAATTCATCTCTCTTTGCCCTTGGTTCAACATTGTGCTATACCAAAACTCATGTAAAACAATGATCTAATGTAATAAAAATGGCATTTTTCTTTCATGTAGATGCAAGGTAACTGGCATTTTTACAATCAACATATTTCCTTTGTCAATTTTTCATTCTGTATTGGAAGTAATTGATAGATATTTCTGAAGGGATGAAGGTGTTTCTGTGTTCATTGTGATCCAAACTTTTTTTAGACCTAGTGGCATTTGTAAAACAATTTGTGCCAGCTGACCAAGGACCACTGTGGCAGAAAGCAGCAAACTTGCATAAGATGTCACTGCCGCATAAGTTGGCTTTGAAAACTAGGGGCTTACTCTATAGTCTTATGAATCAGAGACATTGATAGATGTAGTATAAGATTACAATCATATTTTCCTTTTGACGGTCACATTATAAAGCATGATGTATTGCAATTAATCTCAATTAGCTGATCACAATTAAAATTAATAATGTTGATTATTGCTGATGAACAATCATGACTTCTGTTCTCAAATGTGAAAGTAATTCTTGTAATTTTAATACAAATTTACATATTATTACTAATTGATTTACTCTCATTGGATTTGGTTCATGGATCCAATTTATTAAAATATTGATAATGGGATAATGATTTGTCTCCCCATTTCATTTACACTAAAAGCCACAATTCTTACAATGGTCTGCAAGCCCATCATGATTTGCCGCATGTTAACCGCCAAAATTCTTTTATATCTTCACCCTTGATCTTACCAGTGGTCCTGGCCACTTCACTGTCCTCTGGACATGCCAACATGCTGCTGTCTTATGACCAAGACTCTAGTTAATTTCTTGGCTTGGAAAGATAGCCCTCCATATATCCATTGATCAGCTCATTCAGCTTCCTCAAGTCTTTACTGAAACCTCACATTCTCGATGAGACCTATTCAGTATTTCAAACTGCCTCCCAGCTGCAGCATTCCAAAACCCCTTAGTCTTCTGTGTATTTTTGAAAGGATTTATTGAGACATAATTTACATAGTGTAGAGTGCACACACTAATGTCTACAAGTCAATGGCTTTTAGTATATGCACAGATAAGTGGAGCCATCATCACAATGAATTTTAGAGCATTTTCATCACTTCAAAAAGAAACCCCACCTTCTTTAGCTGTTAACCTCCCATGCACCCATCCCCTACTCAATCCTAAGCAACCACAAAGCTGTTTTCTGTCTCTATAGATTTTCCTATTCTATTTTCATCTAAATAGAATCATACAATAGGTGGCCTTTTGTGCCTGGCTTCTTTCAGTTGGCATAATGCTATCAAGGTTCATATGCGTATTGGTACTTTATTTCTTTTTATAACTGTATAACATTCAATTTCATGGATATAACATTTTGTTTATCCAATAATATTTTATTGACATTCGAGTTGTGTTCAGCCTTTGGCTATTTTAAATACTGCTGCTAAAAATACTTGTGTACAATTTGTGTTTGAACACCTCTTTCCAATAATCTGGGTGTATACCTAGGAATAAATTTCTGGGTCATATGACAATTCTATGTTTAATATATTTAGAAGCCAACAAACTATTTTCCAAAGTGGCCAGTTTTAGCCATAGAGTATCTAATTGTGGTTTTGATTTGTAGTTGCCTGATGAGTGATGCTATTGAGTATCTTTTTATGGGATTATTGACCGTTCGTGTATCTTCTTGGGAAACACATCTATTCCTATCATTTATCAGTTTTGAGTTGGGATATTTGTTACTGAGTTAAAACAATTTTTCTATATTCAAGATACATATATATACAGACATATAGATACGTGTTTTTCAAATATCTTCCACAGTTTTTGAGCTGCCTTTTGACTTGCTTGGTTGTCCTTTGAAACACCAATGTCTTTAATTTTTAAGAAATTTTAAATATCTAATTTTTATTATGTTGCTCATGTTTTTGGTGTTACAGCTATTTCTTTGCTAGATCCAAAATCCTGAAGATTTTCCCATATGCTTTACTCTAGCTCTTGCATGTATGTCTTTAATTCATTTGAGTTAATATTTTTGTATGTTCTGGGGTAAGGGTTCGAATTTATTATTTTGCAAGTGGTGATCCACGTGTACGTTGTCAACCCAGTTTGTTCAAAGATTGTCTCTACCTCATTGAATTGCACATGGCACCACTGTAAGAATCCATTGACTATAGATACATAGTTTTATATATGGACTCTCAATTCTCTTCCAACAGTCTATTTTTCCTTCATCAGTATTGTCTTGTCTTGATTACTGATGCCTTGCAGTAAGGTTTGGAGCACGGGGGTGTGAATTATCCTAATATCTTTCTTTTTTCCAGACTATTTTGGCTATTTTGAGTCTCTTACAATTCCATGTGTATTTTAGAATCGGCTTGTCAGTTTCTAGACAGAAGTCTGTTGGGATACTTGCAGGGATTTCATCAAATCTGTAGTTCAAATTGTAAAGTACTACAATATTAAATCTTCCAATTCATGGCTGTAAGATATTTGCTAATTATTTAGATCTTCTTTAAACAATAATTTTTAATTTTCAGAGTAAACTCTTGTATCACATTTTCCAAATTAATTATTTTTTTTTGTGATGCTATTGTAAATTGAAGTGTTTTCTTAATTTCATTTTGGGGTTTTCATTGTAGATGTGTGCAATTGATTTTTGTACATTTATCTTGTATGCTGTAATATTGCTGAAATAATTTACTAGTTCTATCATTCAGTGGATTCCTTAAAATTTTCTATATACAAGAATGTTATTTGCAAATAAAGTTTTATTTCCTCCTGTCCAATATGGGTGACTCTTACTTCTTTACTTGCTGATTTGTCCTGCATAAAATCTTTAGTACAGTGTTGACTAGAAGAGGTCAAAGTATATATCTTATTCTTATCTCTGACCATAGCGGGAAAGTATCCTTTCTTTCACCACTAAGTTGAATGTTTGCTGTTGGCTTTTCACAGGTGCCATGTATCAGGTGTAGAAAGTTCTCTATTCCTGGTTCATTGAGTTTTTATTTTTATTTTTAATCATTAAAGCATTTGGATTCTGTTAAATGTCTTTTCTGAATCTATCGAGATGATCATGCAATTCTTGTTTCTTATTCTATGGATAAGATGTATTACCTTAATGGATTTTGGGCTGTTAAACCAACCTGGGATTACTAGTATAAATTTCACTTTGTCATAGTGTATAATTCTTTTATATGTTGCTAGATCTGATTTGTTAGTATTTTTTAAGGAATTTTGCATTTATACTTATAATAGTTTTATTTTTCTATGCTATTTGGACTAACTTTTGTATCAAGGTAACACTGGCCCCACAGAATAAATTGGGAAGTGAATATTTCTCCTTTTAAAAAAAGTTAGTCGAGGATTAATATCAATTATCCGATACTAACAAATATTATTAATTTATAAATTATTAATTTCTCTAATTTTTATTTTCTTCCTTCTGCTTGCTTTAGGTTTAGTTTGCTATTTTTTCCAGTGCCTTAATATGGAAGGTCATCTTCTCTCATCCTTTCCTTTGTCTTTTCATTTTCTAAATAGTGTCTTTTTAGCATCAGGTGAGCTCCCCAGGTTGGTAGTACTCCATGTTTATTGCTGTACAACGACAGGTAATATGTCCTGAAGACAATGGAAACTTAACATTCAAAATCCTCCTAGAATCCACCTTATGTGGTATGTCTCTTCCTTTGATTGGTCCTAATTTCTACCCTTTCTCTATTACAAACCATGAGTACAATGGCATTCAATGAGTTCTGTGAGTCTTTCTAGTAAATTCTTGAAACTGAGGGTGTTCTGGGGAAACCCCTGAACTGGCAGTTGGTGTCAAAAGTGAGAATCGTCTTATATGGCCTCTTCCTTTGAACTTTGCAGCTGGACCCAAACTCTGCACAATTTGGGCCAGAAGTCTCGTGTTGACTTTGCAGCCTAAAGTATCTTGTAGTTTGTCTAACCCTCAATAAATTTGCTTTCATCAAATATTGTATTTGTCACCCCAAAATTACCATCATGTTTTTTTTCTCCGAATAACTAACATTGGGAGAAAGAGTCAGCTGAATCTGTAACTCAACAGAAACAAGTGATCCATATACCATATAAGTGGCCATTTCATTTTGCCTCCTTCCACCAAATCTTAGCAACCTCAACCATTGCCATGAGCCACTATAGGCCTACCAGCTACAAACAAACAAGTATCTTTTTAAAACACTTCATACTGCCATTTGATAAATTTCCCAGCAAAGAGATGCCTACTTTAACTCTATGCAAGTGGCTCATATTCGCGAAGTCTGGAGATATTATTCATGTAGTGTGAGAAAATCATCCCAGCGATGCCAGCACATTCTCCTTCCCATGATCTGCTTAGTTTGCAAACATATTCAGGCCATGGGTGAGAGATTTGTATTTCACAGTACAACAATTTTATGGAGGGCATTGAAACTTAGATTGAGCATTTTAGTACAGTCACACATCACTGAATGATAGGGATACGTTCTAAGAGATGCATCCATAGGCAATTTCTTCATTTTGCAAACATCACAGAGAATATTACAAACACCTAGATTGTACAGCCTACCACGTCTAGGTTAAATGGTATAGCCTCTCTCTCCTAGGCTACAAACCTGAGTACTACATTACTGTACTGAATACTGCAGGCAGTAAGAACACAGTGATAAGAGTTTATGTATCTAAACATACTTAAACATAGAAAAGTATGTAAAAATATGTATTGTAATCTCATGGGACCACTTTTGTATATGTAATCCATCTTTGAAATGTTATTATGCATGACATGACTGTATGACAAAAATAAAATAATACATTGTAAAAAATGTACACATGTATCAAACATATTAATATTATAAAAATAAAAATATTCAGTGTAAGAATTTGTAATGATCACAAAATGTTCACAGCTTATATTTTAGTACAGTTTCAAATGCCTAGTGCAATTACTATTTATTTCTGTGTGTATTTTAAACATGTATATAATAAATATTTTTCAGGTTCAACAATATATATCAATCCTACTGGCTCGTATAAATATTGGTTAAAATCATTTAGTAAATTCATGTATATATACACACACGTGTATCAGTGAGTGTGTGTGCATGTATGTGTGTGTAAATGTAATTGTATGTGTGTGTAAATGTAATTGGATGCATCCTAATATTTACCCTTACCTACAAGATTTCCAAGATTCATTTATTATCTTTAGATGATGTATATTTAAAGATTTACCAAATAAAACTGTAATCATGGAAAATATCAGATGTTTTTAAATTCACCTTGTGCACATAATTGTTTCTTTAAATTTATGTTTCTTGCAAAACTTGCAGTAATGCTCATGCACAAAATAATTTTCTAAGTAAAAAATAAAAACATTTTGTCATTCTTAATAATTATTTCTCCCCAATAATTAATGTGAATTAATTCTTAATTCTTAATTATAGAATAATGTTGCCCTTCAGAGTTCTGAAACTTTTGCATGTTGTATACATTTCACTAACTAGAACAACTTCTGAAATATTGGCATTAATTAATGTCACTCAGCAATTATTGATTTCAAAGAAATTAAATACCATTCATATTCTGAATCACAAGGGTACTTTGGCATCTAATTTAATCAAGCTCTTTGTATCATCATCTACACTTTAATTACTTAACAAACATTTCGCTGTGTGAGAAAGACTGAGGAGGTTATTGTGCTTTTTTAAGATGCAACTGTTGCTTAACCTAGAGATAGGCAATGCTCCCTATAAGGGACAAAGAGAAAAATGAATGAGCAATAGAGATGTGACAGGCATGGAAAAAGACAATACATTTATAAAACAAATAGGGCCACAGATGATGAAAATGGGGATCAAATCTTGAGATACTGACTCATTTTATAACGGCACTGTATAATAGAGCAAATCATTTGTTAATTTTTTACAAATGGATTTTAATTTAATTAAGATGAATACAGTGTTTTAAACAAGGCAGGTCATCTTAAAATAAATTAGTAGAATAAAGTGATAAAACCAAAGTAAAAATCATAAATATTTTATAAAGAATTTTTGTCATGTAATTTAATATTTTTGTTTATTTAAAATCACCCAAATCAAAATAATTTTATCTTCATTAATAAATAATCATCAGAAGTTTAACTAATTTTTACTTTATAATACTAGGTTTAAAAATTCTTAACTATATTTGTAATCATATGCTTATATATAAAATAGGATATATATTTACATGTTCACAATATTATATTGTAATTGTTCCTATGGATGTGATTTTTCAATAGAATTAATAAGTACTTTTAAAAATTTTCAATTTCAATGATATATATGTTTGACTTTTCTTTGACAAAGCATACATATATTGATAGGTAATAATATGAAAATCTTCTAAAGACATTACAGGAACATGAAAATGTAATTAAATCCTCACTAATTTGTAATGTTTTATGTAAGCGGAACACATTTAACTGAAAATTGCTTTTATATAATACTCAAACGAGACTAAAAACATTTTAACTAGCGGAGTAAGTCTCCAAATTGATAATCTGAACTATATAAGAGGAGAAACTTCAGGCACTAAAATATTTGAAATGCTACAAAATATTTATATAAACTATTATTTAACAATTTCTGTTTGTAGAGTGCTATACAGTAATCAATATAAATGACATCTCAAGTCTTTCTATAGCTTTGACCACATTTACCTCCTAATTTTAATTATTAATATGTTGGAGCAGTGCATACAACTAGATTCCGATCTTCCTTTTTAATGAGTAAAAATGTGTCCTTTGAGACAGCATTAAAGAAAGAGCACCTTGTATAAATTCAATGCCAAGAGACAAGATATTCTTGATTCTGAAGTCTTGTTCTTTTATACAGCACTGTAATTAATAAGAAGAAGAAAAGCAGGACATAGATGTGGAGTCTATTTTAATAAAAAATTGTCTATAGATTTTGATGATAAAATTTAAAAATCTACTATATTTAGTTACAAAAAAACTAGGTTGTGGGAACATATTTGGTTAATAAACACCCCTACCAAATGCTGACAAGAAAAAAAGTTAGGTGCCACCTTTCTTCTCTGCAGATGTCCTGAGATGAGTTAATTTGAAAGAATGCTTCCAAACCTGAGGTGACCCCTGAGAACAGCATAATCCACTGCTGTCTCCCACATTCAGTTTCTCAGTTTGTGCTCTTTTAATTTTGGGGGGAGGGAAGCCAGTCCTTTCAACCGATCTTCAGCATGATGACAGAGCCAATGAGTGTGGACAGGTGGCACGGTGTCTGACTTTGTTCCAGCAGCCACTTGGGCTTTCTCTGGGTCTTCTCTGCCCTAGGGATAGCACCACTATGGAAAACATGTCTTTGTGACATTCTCTATGCCAGGAACTCCCAACACATTTTCCTTGAAACTGATGAAATGAATAAAAATAAACCAAGAGGTGTGCTGTTTGTTTCTGTTTCCTCCTTTCTGCAGCCCTTCTTGATCATCTAATATTTTTAAATACATTGTTGATCACCAAAAGGAGCATAAGGGGTATATTGATTTGTAGCAGATGTATTAATAGCCCAGCCCCTATTCCTTACTTGTAGCTGCTGGGAAGAAAAGGAATCTTAACACTCTACAAGGTCTCATCTCCAGAACTTGCACCTGTTTCTAGCTGAGGACTTTCTCTAGCAGCACGGGAGCTTGTTACTGGGCATGAAGTGGGAAGAAAAGGTGAGGGTAACTAAGAAGAATCTCCCTGGATTCAGTGATGTAATTCTGAGGCATGTTCCACATAGCTTCCCAGAGAATTAAGCCCAGATACCTAATAATAATGGCTACATCAGGGGTCTTGTTAGTTCTCGTTCTACACTGTCTACGGGTTATTACTATCAGTTTTCTGTCTTTTTTTTTAGCAGTACGACGTGACATCTGTAAAATCTATATTTCCTCTCTTTCTCCTTCCAGCCTTAGTGAAACTATGCTGTAGAATTAAAGCAAAATTATGTTGTGCCCCAGAGCCCCTTATGTCTTGAACTGCTCTCCATATTTCTTCTTCCCAATCTCAATGTGGGGAAGTAAGACCAATTTCAATGTAGTCTTACTGCGAAGATCATGTTCCAGACCAGCAGCTTTAGTGTCACCCAAGAACTTACTACAAATGAAGAATCTCAGGCCTGCTCAATCAGAATGTGCAGCTTCAGCGAGCCCCCACCCCACACCCCACCCCCTCCCCCCGCTGATTTATGCGGGGAAGAGAAGTTCTTCTCTATGTGGATTGAACATGACATTAAACGTGTTTTGCCAAATTACCTGTCCCAGATTTTTCTCCATCCTTTATTTGTGTGGCTATATTCGAAACAGAATCTTTCTCGTCACTTGTAGCCTGAATGGAATTTGAAAGAAAATAATAAATAAATAAATGAAGTATGTTTCAAAGACTATATATTTAAAAGTTCACAATATAAATGAGAGTTTAATTACCTTCAAGGCTGGTGGTTTCTGAGAAGACACTGAAAAACAAAAGGGATACATAATCACTCATATATAAATATGATAAAGTAATCCATACATTCACACAGTGTTAGCATCAAGCTGTAACCTTCTGCCTGTACTGGTGTAGGCTCTGATGTCTTCTACTTTGTGTCTTGGGACTGGAACATGACAGAAATACACTGATAAAAGGGAATACTGTCTCCATGAAATATACCCTTACAATTTCAAACATGTTATGATTTGTCATATGTCGAAAACTAAAAACCGTGTCAATATCAATGTGGATATGTCGATGATGAGGACAAACATGATTTAAAATCAGAGGAGCAACTCATACACCTGAGAATCAATGTCAAAGCAGGTGCTACATGATCCCACATGTCTTTCACGCAAGAAATCAAAAGGATTTACACCATTATACTACAAACATTCATCATGCTCTTTAACTTGCCCAATAACTGAGAAGGCACACAATTACGATGACACTTCAGTTGAACGTACACTTCACATCACTTCAGTGGAAGTGTCCTAAATTGATAATCTTGGATATCTGTTTGCTGATACCTAGTAGATAACATTCATTATCTCTCACACCCATCTGGTGTAATAATGTGCCTAAGTTTCTTTTATCCACTAGTTTAGCCTCCTGAAAGTTTCTTCATCCACTCATGGCACCAAAGGATAATACATTAGCCTCAAGAAAAATATCATCAATTATCAATTTTGACATACTTCTACAAAGTAAAACTGCTACAAGCATTAGATATTAATAAGTTTTTCATTCAGAAATCACTCCAATGTTCATTGAAAATGATCACTTTAGGAGTTCATTAGAATTCTACACAATTTTTGTTTCTAAAATAGTCTTGTTTGGGAATATCACACTATTCTCTATAGAAGTTTCATTAAATAGCTATTTTATCCAAGAGGTAGCTCCTTGAACAAGGAAGCCAATGTATTCATATTCAAGTTTGTCTCATTTCTATTACTAAAATCAACAAAACATGTATCTCTGATGCCTCCTAGTAACAAAGAAGAGTAATGAGTCATTGTGCTTTATCCCAATTCTAGCATTGTTTCCTGCTTCCAGTAGCTCCTGGAGCTGCCAAAATCAAATATTTTTTAGGCAAATATTCCAAATGCATCTGAAGTGAGTTCACTCAGGTTTCCTCAGCAGAAACCCCAAAATTATATAAATAACTTCTTTTCCCTCCTTCCTGCCTCACGATCCGTCTTCCTTGGGAAAATAATTGCTACATCAGGGGTCTCCTTAGTTCTCATTCTACAGTGTCTATGGGTTATTACGATCAGTTTTCTGTCTTTTTTTAGCAGTACGATGTGACGTCTGTAAAATCTATACTTCCTCTCTTTCTCCTTCCACTCTTAGTGAAACCATGCTGTAGAGTTAAAGCAAAATTATGCTTTTCCCTGAGCCCCTTATGTCTTGAACTGCTCTCCATATTTCTTCTTCCCAATTTCAACGTGGGGAAGTCTATAATCTTACTGCAAAGATCATGTTCCAGACCAGCAGCATTAACGTCACCCAAGAACTTATTACAGATGAAGAATCTCAGGCCTGCTGAATCAGAACATGCAGCTTCGAGGAGCCACACCCCCGCCCCGGCTGATTTATTCGGGGAAGAGAAGTTCTTTTCTATTTTGACTGAACATGACATTAAATGTGTTTTGCAAAATTACCTGTCCCAGATTGTTGTCCATCCTTTATTTCTGTGGCTATATTCGAAACAGAATCTTTCTCGTCACTGGTAGCCTGAATGGGGTTTGAAACAAAGTAATCGATACATGAAGTAGGTTTCATAGACTATACAGTTAATAGTTCAACATATAAATGAGACTTTAATTACCTTCTCAGCTGGTTGTTTCTGAGAAGACACTGAAAAGCAAAAGGGATAATCACTCATATGTACATATGATAAATTTATCCATACATTCATGCAGTGTTAGCATCAAGCTGGTATCTTCTTGCCTGTACTAGTGTAGGCTTTGATGTTTTCTACTTTTTGTCTGGAGACTGGAACACGACAGAAATACACTGAGAAAAAAGGAACACAGGCTTCACAAAATATACCCTTACAATTTCAAACATGATATGATTTGTGATACGTCTAAAACTAAAATAAAACCGTGTCAGTATCAATGTGGATATGCCGAGTGACGAGGACAAATCAGAGGAGTAACTCACACACCTGAGAATCAATGTCAAAGCAGGTGGTACATGATCCCGCATGTCTTTCTTGCAAGAAATCAGAAGGATTTACACCATTATACTACAAACATTTGTCATGCTCTTTAACTTACCCAATAACTGAAAAGGCACACAATTATGATGACACTTCAGTTGAACATACAGTTCACGTCTCTTCAGTGGAAGTGTCCTAAATTGATCACCTTGGATATCTCTTTGCTGATACCTAGCAGATAATATTCATTATCTCTCACACCCATGTGGTGTAATAATTTGCTTAAGTTTCTTGTATCCACTAGTTTGGCATTCTGAAAGTTTCTTCATCCACTCATGGCACCAAAGGATAATATATTAGCCTCAAGAAAAATATCAATTATCAATTTTGGCATACTTCTACAAAGTAAAACTGCTACAAGCATTAGATATTAATGAGTTTTACATTCAGAAATCATTCCAATATTCATTGAAGATGATCACTTTAGGAGTTAATTAGAATTCAACATAATTTTTGTTTCTAAAATAGCCTTCTTCGGAGTATCATGTTATTCTCCAAAAAAGTTTCATTAAACAGCTATTTTATCCAAGAGGTAGCTCCTTGAACAAGGAAGCCAATCTATTCATATTCAAGTTTATCTCATTTTTTTAACTAAAATCAACAAAACATGTATCTCTGATGCCTAATAGTAACAAAAAGGAGTAATGAGTCAGTGTGCTTTATCCCAATTCTAGCATTGTTTCCCACTTCCAGTAGTTCCTGGAGCTGCCAAAATCAAATATTTTTTATGCAAATATTCCAAATGCATCTAAAGTGAGTTCACTCAGGTTTCCTCAGCAGAAACCCCAAAATTATGTAAATGACTTCCTCTTTTCCCACCTTCCTGCCTCATAATCCGTCTTCCTTGGGAAAATAATGCCGTAAACCCGGGAGGTGGAGTTTGCAGTGAGCCGAGATCCCGCCACTGCACTCAAGCCTGGGTGACAGAGCGAGACTCCGTCTCAAAAAACAAAAGAAAAGAAAAGAAAAGAAAAGAAAAGAAAATGTATCATTCACTTCTGCTTGCAGGAAGTGCTCTCAATCATTAGTTTAGATATCTACTTGGAGAAAAATTGTTTCTAAAAATACTCATGTTATCCACAGTCATGAAGACTTCTGATATTTTCAACTTCTGGATTCTCAACTTAAGTTCTCTTGCCATCTTTTCATTCACTTATGCAAAAAAAGTATGCATTACACATCAAATAACTAATGAGTACTCAGATTTTCATTTACAAAATGTAACCAAAAATCTCTGAATCATCATTGATTTTTTTTTCATAATGATCAACTTTCTTTTTTTTTTTTTTTTTGACATGGAGTCTTGCTCTGTTGCCTAGGCTGGAGTGCAGTGCGCACAATCTCGGCTCACAGCAACCTCCGCCACCGGGGTTCAAGTGATTCTCCTGCCTCAGGCTCCCTAGTAGCTGGGACTACAGGCACACGCCACCATGCCTGGCTAATTTTTTGTATTTTTAGTAGAGATGGGGTTTCACCATGTTAGCCAGGATGGTCTCCATCTCCTGACCTTGTGATCCTCCCACCTCAGCCTCCCAAAGTGCTGGGATTACAGCCATGAGCCACCGCGCTTGGCTTAATCAACTTTTACATATCAAAATATTTGCCATGATTATGGACAGTTACACTTTTAGTACTCAAGAAATAAATTTCTCGTTTGTTTTTTTCTAGTCAGTTTGATATGCAATAGCATAGCAGCCTCTGAGGTACTTTTATACAATGGCTATTTCATCAAAAACAGCACTGTTTTTAAAGAAAACTGCCAATGTTTTGATATCCAAGTGCATCCCAGTTCACTAACAAACATGAATGAAGCACATATCATTGATGTGTAACCCCTATAGAGAGAAGAAATGAGTTCCTGTGGTTTCCTGTCGTTCTTCTATCCTCTGCTTCCAGTAAGCTCCAAAGCAGCAATAATTTAGTCTTCTCTTTGAGTGGGAATATACTGAGTCTACATAAAGTGAATTCCCTCGAGTTTCCTCATCAGAAACCTCCGAATTACCTAGCCAGCTGCTTTCTTAATTTACACCATCCCACCTCACATTTTTTTTTGCAAATATACTAATGTCCATTTCTCAACAATGAATATTATATTTTGATCTGCAAGTTTAAGTGTTCACCAAAGTTTTAAGAAAAAGAATGTTTAAATTACATTATATTTACTATTAAAATTTAATAAATTATATTTACAATTTAATTAAAATTAGGCTTATAATTTAATGTAATTTAACAATTAATTTTAAATTTATTTTAAATTATATTTAAATTAGTTATATTTATTTTCAAAAATTATATTATTAAAGCATAGAAAATTATTCAGCTATATTCACTGCCTCACCACCTTTGTTTTTTTGTACACAAAAAATAACATTATCATTATTTGATTGCTCTCATGAAGCACTTTTTATAATACCAATACCATTTGCTTTTTGTCCAGTTGCTGGTAGTGCTTTTCATTCCTATTTAAAAAAAAAAAAGAAATCTTCAGAAAATGTTATATTTACTACTCAGTCAGTAATTCAAGAAACATTTTCTGTGTCTATAAATTCATAAGGTCTATACTGGAAAATCTGATAATATGAATAAAATACTAATTTTATTTATTTATCAAGTGAAAAAAGAAATTTATAAAAACAAACAAAAGCAGAAAGACACAATTCATTATTTCTACAATTCAAGTCAATAAAAACAGTGATAGCACAAAGGTAATAACACTTATTTCTACTTGGGAAGCTTCTGAGACACTGCAAATTCAGGGTTCTATTTTTAAAATAGACAAGTGAAGAGTAAGAGTGTGAAGTGTTTCTAGTGAGGGCAGCATGTGCAAAAAAATAAAGCATGAAACAGCATAGCCAATAAGAAATACCACAATAACGTGGTAAAACTTGGACACAGACCGAGAAAGTGGAGTGGAGAGATAAAATGGGAGAAACAGGCCAAACCGCAAAATAAGTGTTATGCTAGAATGTAAATGTTTCTTTCGTGTAATGAGGGTCCAGCCATAAGCAGATGAGTTAGATAAAAGTAAACATGTTTAAGAAAGGTCACCCTGAAAGACATATATAGATAGATAAACATGGGGAGAAGAGAGAAACAAAAACAAACATTCCGAAAGTATAGGGCAGACAGTGTATTACAGTAATAAGATATGAGAAATGGTTAAAGGTAGAAAATACAAAATTTGGTGAGTCACTGGATTGGCAATGTGAGGGAAACCTGGAGTGCAGTTTTTTCTGCTTCAATGTTTCATTGCTACTTTCTTGGTGTTATTTACTAAAATTGGGAAGCCAGATGACAGAGTAGATTACAAAGAGTCAGGAAAGAATCTGGAAGGCAGTTTGAGACCTATTAAACTGGAGGCACAAAGGGGACTTAGAAGACTGATCTGGGTAAATACATTTGGAGTAGAAATAGATGACCTTACTCAAAAAAAAACCATACGTTGTTGAGAAGGTCAACATTTGTAACATATACTAAACTGGTAGGATTCAATAATTTAAACCTATGAAGAACACTGAAGTTTTGAAAATAAAAAGAAAACAAAACATGGGATTCAAAATTTCAATTATATATTTCTATACTGGATTAAAAGATATAAAATATATTTTCTTAATATATGCAGATATTTATTTCTGGAATATTATGGTCATCTGCATTTTTGAACTTAATGAAAACAGTTATCTAAACCAGTAATTCAAGGTATCCTAAGAAAGCTCATTTTTAAAAAATCATCTTAAAAGTTTAACTTGCACAAATGTTTATTCTATTATAGAATTATAAGGCATTTTAAGTGCTACTAAAATATAAGAGAGAAATGTAAAACCTATTTTAAAGTTCATATGGTTTTCTGATTCTCCTGTAAATTATATACTAATAGCTCTAATTGCCTACTTATGCCATAAAGATAATAGTTAAAAATCAGAGAAAGGATCAAGTAAAATAATCATATGACTATGCAAGCTGAAGATTTACATGTCTTCAAATACACTATGCCTGTCAATCAGGACCCAATACTGACATGAAGAGAGAAGAAATTTATTTTAAACATCAAGTCAAAAGGATTCCTGAGTTTTAGAGCTGAATCAATTTATATGCAAGGTATAACAACTATAAATACTAAAGTTAATAATGCTTCCAGAGAATAATACAAAATGTCCCAACTGTAGGAGATAGTTTTAAAAGTAAAAAGTAATATTCCAGAGATAATTCTGTGTACTCTGTTGGCAATATTTCTTTCCTTACAATTCTATCAAAATAGGTACTTTGTTTAGAAAACAATCATGAGTGTTGATTGCATTCATCACATGTATGTTCTTAAGTACAGACGTTATCAGCACAAGGTAAGTCAGACTAGCTCCAGAAATAAGTAATAATTTATTTCTTTAAGAGGGTTCCAGGTTAAAAATATATTTTTTCTCATTCAATGAATATAAATTAGAAACCTCATTTAAAATTAACCAGAAATGGCTAGGCGTGGTGGCTCACACCTGTAATCCCAGCACTTTGGGAGGCCGAGGCAGGCAGATCACAAGGTCAGGAGATCGAGACCATCCTGGCTAACACAGTGAAACCCCGTCTCTACTAAAAATATTTTAAAAAATTAGCCGGGCGTGATGGCGGGTGCCTATAGTCCCAGCTACTCGTGAGGCTGAGGCAGGAGAATGGCATGAACCCGGGAGGTGGACCTTGCAGTGAGCCGAGATCATCCACCGCCCTCCAGCCTGGGCGACAGAGTGAGACTCCCTCTCAAAAAAAAAAAAATTAACCAGAAATTTTAATTTTTATTAATTTATGTATTAATTAATTTTTATTATTTTTTATTATTTAATTACTTATTTATTTTCTCTCTTATTATCAAAAAAAGGCTAAAACAGCTGCCAAGATTATGTAAAAGTGAAATAAATTAGTTAAGCAACTTAGGAATATACCAAATATTACTTTAAAAAACTTTTAACAAGAGTCAAAAATTAATGATTCATTCAAAATCTGATATAGCCTAAAACACATTTTACTTTGCATTATCTATGAACACGGCATTCACTAGATAAAATATGAGACACCACTTTACTGAAATTTTAAAAAGTGAGGATTAAATTTTCTTTCCATTTAGAATTTTTAAATTAATAAATAGATGCATATATTTTCAGTGTACGTGTGATGATTTGATCCATCTATATAATCTAATGAGGGTAACAGAGAGACACATTACCTTAAATATGTATGTTTTATTTAAACTAGAAATATTCAAGTTATTCTCTCCTGGCCGTTTTTAAATGTAAAACAGAATGTTAAATATAGTCACCCATAAATTTTCTTCCAATCCTTTATTAAAATCACCCGTAAGTCACTCAGAAGAATCTGAGCATTTTTTTAATTACTTGGCTTTCTTTTCCTAATCTATATTTAAAATAATTCTATAATATGATATGGAGACATTCTACTGTCATTTAAATTCACCATTTTTGAGGTGTTTTATACTAATCTTTGTCATCTTGACACTCTTATTCAACTCTGTATTCTTACTTCTTTCCCCTCCTCACCTTTGTATTTGTGGAGCTGTTCTTTCAGGTTGCTTTCTACTTCTTTCCTTCCCTAATGGCAAACCTAACAATCATTTACTCCTACGACCTTTTAGGAATCCTAGTCCCATGCGTATATTTCCCTTGCTGTTACACTTCTTTTCTATTATTACCTGGAGAACTTCCATTCCTTTATAGGATCCTTGTCATCGTTATAAAGACAGGGAGATGGCAAGTGAATAAAGCATGGGAAAAATATTTTCCAAATAAAACAATTTACCATTGTAAAACTAGAGATCATTAACAGATAAGAGTGAGTTGGTGAACAGGACTGGACTCTGATTATTCTATGTTGGCTTTTAACCATATCTTCATTTACCTTATCAACATTTTGGTCTTCAAACAAGGTTTCATTTTCTGTTTTTTCAATGCCACATGCAGCATCTACTACAGTAAAAACAAAGTCAAGAGTAGATGAAATGCGTGTAATTAAGAATCAATAAATAAGAACCGGGTGTGGGGGCTCACAACTTTTAATCCCAGCACTTTGGGGGGCCGACGCAGGCAGATCATACGAGGTCAGGTGTTCAAGACCAGCCTGGCCAACATGGTGAAATTCCATCTCTACCAAAAGTACAAAAATAGCCAGGTGTGGTGGTGCACACCTGTAATCCCAGCTACTCGGGAGGCTGAGGCAGGAGAATCACTTGAACCCAGGAGGTGGAAGTTGCAGTGAGCCAAGATCATGCCACTGCACTCCAGCCTGGGCAACAGTGAGTAACACTCTGTCTACAAAAAATAAGAAAGAAAAAGAAAAAAAAAAGAATCAGTAGATAATACAATAGTCAGGTTTCAAATAGCTTACACTTTTCTGCAGATTGTTGAGAAATAGTCCTCTGTTCTTAAAGTATGGTTCTGAAATGCTCTAGAAGAAAGTCAATAGGTTTAAGAATAACATGCAGCAAGTTAAAATAATGATAATTGCCACCATTACTACACGATCTAACACAAAAAGGATAGACTTTGAAGTCACTCATATGTAGATCCAAACCTCAAGTCTGCCATTTACTTATTTACATATTCACATGAGATGATGATTATGATTGGTGATACAGATATTCTCAAAATGTTACTCCTTTCAACCCCAGTTGATTATTATACAAATACTATGATATCTATCAGTTTCTTTTATTAACCACAACAAACTGGGACAAAAATTTACTCATATGTAATTTAGAGTAATATTGAACAAAACTAACAATAAAAAGTCAATTAATCACTTTAGTTTTCAAAATATTTATGCATGATATATATTTGTGTGAATTACTTTCTGTGGGAAAAAATGTGAGAATGTAGTTTTTAGTAGTACTATATTTAAATGGGCTATCATCGCAATCGGTATAAGTTGCTTCTATTCTGTGTGTCAAAAGCTAAAAGCAAATTATTGTATAACTTCAGCTCCTTCCAAAAAAGACAGAACAAAGCAACCATCCACCTTATGGAGCAATGATTCACGAATGAAGGCCACACATAGCTACTAAATAGAAAGCTGTAACTAAGTATCCTGACAACAGAAACAGAGGTGAAACAAAAGAATAGACACTAAAGACATGTGGTCTGCAAGGAAAAAGTTAGACTGAGGTAAATCATTCTTAAACAAAGGGGAAGGAGGGAGAAACAAACAAAAAAAGAGACATGACCAGTCAATCAAATATGAGCTTAAAAGAAAAGCTTGTGTTCATAATATATGCCTAATAATGCTGGTTAGCATTTACTCAACAATTTGTTTTGTGTAAATACTTATGTAATAAAAAGTTTAGTTTGTTTACTATAAAATAACACATCCCAAGAGTTAAACATGATCATTCACCTGAAAGCTGAAACATTCTTACTACAAAGAGAGAGAGAGAGAGAGAGAGAGACAGAGAGAGGAATAAAAAACACAATAGAATTCCAGCAACTTAACACCTGGAGAAAGAATTTTTATTCAGAATTCAAAAGAGTAATGTATGCCCTGAAAAATATGTATTTAATAGAACATGGTTGGGGCTTTGAAAATTTAATCTAAAATCCTAATCTAAGCTTCCAGTTGGAAGATATTAGAAGACACGCTGTATCCACCTTTCCTATTTCCTTTCCATCTTTTCCAATTTTCATTTTATTCTATGACATATTTTCTCAGCATAACTCACCTCAACTTATAGATTCTCAACATTAGAAGAAAAGATAAATTCAGAACATTCAAGACATTTAATAGATTTAATTATTAGATATCTTATGCATATTATGTTACCTGTAACATTCCATTAAAAAAAAGCCCATTTCCCTGTTTGTTGATTCACATTAAAAACTATTAAAATGTTTCTTACATGCAAGACCTTATTCTGGGTACTCAAGATACATACAAATAGGTTTTCTAGCTTCAAGTGGCTCGTAGTAATGCAGGAGCTTTACAATTATTTTTTCAATAACTAAGCACAAAAGCCTCTGAAATTTGAAATTTAGAATGAGATACAAAGACCCTGAGTGGATTTTTTTTAATTACAATGCAAAAACCTTGTGAAATTAAAGTCTGACCACAGAAATATGAAGAGTCTCTGCTTATCAAACAGGTTGTTATTTTAAACAAAATGCATATTCTTAGATTAGATAAAGATTTTACAGTATACTCTTAATAAAAAAGACTTGGAAAACACAGTGTAAACCCTCTCTAATACAGGTGTGAGAACAGAATTTAAATTTCTAATATTCCACAACTTTTTTAAATTAGAGATAAGCTCTTGCTATATTGCCAAGCTTGGTCTTAAACTCCTGGGATCAAGAAATTCTCCTGGCTTGATCTCTTGAATAGGTGGGACTACAGGCACATGGTACCATGTCTAGTTAAATTTCCACAATTTCTAATATTATTTTAGTCTAATTATATAGAACCAAGAATAAAAATAAAGAAATAGCTCTCTGCAAAAATACTGTATGATGTTAAAATAGGTGTACAAGAAATAAAAAGAACCTATATGCTATGTGTAACAGGGTGATTCCATGATTCCCATAATAAGTCATCTGATGTAACAAACATTCATTTAAACAGAGGTATTATTAGTCATACTCATATGATATACAACTCAAAGTAAAAACACTTACTCAGATAAGCCTAGACCAAAATTTGTATCTCCTCTATTGTGGGAAAGCGTTCCCAAACAACATTTTTCTGTCACTATGTATTTTCCAACAATTTTTTTTTCAGATCACACCTCTCAAAGTATTTATCAACTATTTCTTATTTACAAAGTAAAAAAATTAAAATTAACCCCTCCTATTTCTTTAAAATAGTTATCTCTAATAAAAGTTTTAATACTAACATAAAACAATGATAGGTAGACAATTGCTAAGTTTTAGAAGAAAATAATACAAAAAATGAGATTCAGAGTGAGAAAATTAATTTCACAAGAGAGTACTCTACCTCAGATTCCAAAGCAAACTTATCCTTTGTCACAGGCTGTGCAACATTATCCAGTAGGTAGCGACACCTACAGAGCAAAAAGATATGACAAAAATGAGCACGCTCATTTTTTAAAACAAAAACCATCAGTCTATACATGCATGTCCCCTCCAAAAAAAAATGGTAAAACAAAGTCTGAGGAAGGTCAGTTATCCTTATATTAAATAATATTTCTTGGTATAATTAAGATATGGCTTCTGTATTAGAAAACATTTCAGTTACCTATTTCTGCCTCCACCTCTCCCAACCTATGAAATATCCAGTGCAGACTCACCCTTAAACCCGTAACAAATAGTGACAGGCATTATAACAGCATGGCCAGACAATAATTTGTCTTTATAAATTATCTACCCTAAAGACTAAACTGAAAATCCAATTGATATCTGACACAACTTTTGTTACTGAACTGCAGTAAACCTGATAACCTAAAACAAGGTAGAAAAGGCACTGTCTCTTCTGCGTTATCTATTTCTGATTCAAAGACTAATCTGTGTCACGGGAAAAGGGGAGTCTTGGATCTTCAGCATGTAAGCTACTTAGATTGCCCATCGATTCTCTTTACTCTAGAACTCTACAGGGAGCCCCCTGAAACACTGCAAATGTTTGAAAGCTGAGTGTAAAAAAAGTCAAAGTACAAATGTACTTTTGGAATATTCTTCACAGAAGATTAAAACATTAAAAATTATAAAATCCAATTAATGTCATTATATAGATCCTGCCTTATTCAGGTCCACAAAAACCAGCAAGCTTAAGAACCTTCATAGACACTCAGATACTCAAGAGACAGACTGCTGGAAAAGTCTCCCTCCTGAGTACTTACAGCTTAATTTCATTCATCACTATCTAAATATCTTCCTTCCTATGGGCTCCCCCTTCTGGATCCCTCTTCTGCAGGGATCCATGGCAATCTCCAATCTACATCTTCAAATTTGTCTGTCCCCTGCAAATTCCATTCTTATCCACTTTCATTGGGTTCAACAGCTCATTATTCCATTCTCATCCTTTTCCACTGTGTTCACTAGAGCCACTCCCTCTTTCTAAAACTAAAATCACTCAATGACAGAATGATGTAAAAGAAGACTGGGTTTTGAACTAGAATTATTAGATATGTCATGCATATTATGTTACCTGTAACATTCCATTATAAAAAAAACCCATTTCCTTGTTTGTTGATTTACATGAAAAACTACTAAAATGCTTCTTACATGCAAGACCTTATTCTGTGTATTCCAGGATACATACAAATAGGTTTTCTAGTTTCAAGTGGCTCGTAGTAATGCAGGAGCTTTACAATTATTTTTTCAATAACTAAGCACAAAAGCCTCTGAAATTTGAAATTTAGAATGAGATACAAAGACCCTGAGTGGATTCCTTTTAATTACAATGCAAAAACCTTGTGAAATTAAAGTCTGACCATAGGAATATGAAGAGTATCTGTTTATCAAACAGGTTATTTTAAACAAAATGCATATTTTTCAATTAAATAAAGAGTTTAAAGTATACTCTAAATAAAAAAGGCTTGGAAAACACTGTGTAAACCTTCTCTAATACAGATTTGAGAACAGAATTTAAATTTCTAAACTTCCACGACTTTTTGAAATTAGAGATAAGCTCTTGTTATATTGCCAAGCTTGGTCTTAAACTCCTGGGCTCAAGAAATTCTCCTGGCTTCATCTCTTGAATAGGTGGGACTACATGGACATGATACCATGTCTAGTTAAATTTCCACAATTTCTAATATTATTTTAGTCTAATTATAGAGCCATGAATAAAAATAAGGAAATAGCTCTCTGCAAAAATAGTGTATGATATCAAAATATGTGTACAAGAAATAAAAAGAAACCACATGCTATGTGTAACAGAGTGATTCCATGATTTCTATGATAAGTCATCTGATGTATTAAAGATTCATTTAAACAGAGGTATTATTAGTCACACTCATATGATATACAACTCAAAGTAAAAACACTCAAATAAGCCTAGACCAAAATTTGTATCTCCTCTATTGTGGGAAAGCGTTCCCGAACACCATTTTTCTGTCACTGTGTATTTTCCAGCAAATTTTTTTTCAGATCACACCTCTCAAAGAATTTATCAACTATTTATTATTTGCCAAAGTAAAAAAAAATTAAAATTAACCCCTCCCATTTCTTTAAAATGGTTATCTCTAATAAAAGTTTTAATACTAACATAAAACAATGATAGGTAGACAACTGCTAAGTTTTAGAAGAAAATAATACAAAAAATGAGATTCAGAGTGAGAAAATTAATTTCACAAGAGAGTACTCTACCTCAGATTCCAAAGCAAACTCATCCTCTGTCACAGGCTGTGCAACAGCATCCGGTCTGTAGAGACTCCTACAGAGCAAAAAGATACAACAAAAATGAGCACGTTCATTTCTTAAAAGAAAACAAAAACCATCAGTTTATACATGCATGTCCCCTCCAAAATAAATGGTAAAACAAAGTCTGAGGAAACTCAGTTATCTGCATATTAAATAATATTTCTTGGTATAATTAAGATATGGCTTCCATTTTAGAAAACATTTCAGTTACCTATTTCTGCCTCCACCTCTCCCAACCTATGAAATATCCAATGCAGACTCACCCTTAAACCCGTAACAAATAGTGACAGGCATTATAACGGCACGGCCAGACAATAATTTGTCCTTATAAATTATCTACCCTAAAGGCTAAACTGAAAATCCAGTTGATATCTGACACAACTTTTGTTACTGAACTGGAGTAAACCTGATAACCTAAAACAAGGTAGAAAAGGCACTGTCTCTTCTGCATTATCTATTTCTGATTCAAAGACTAATCTGTGTCACGGGAAAATGGGAGTCTTGGATCTTCAGCATGTAAGCTACTTAAAGAGGGCCCATTGATTCTCTTCACCCTAGAACACTACAGGGAGCCCCCTGAAACACCGCAAATGTTTGAAAGCTGAGTGTGCAAAAGTCAAAGTACAAATGTATAGGTTGTTAGGTTGTTATTGGGAATATTCTTCACAGAAGATTAAAACATTAAAAATTTTAAAATCCAATTATTGTCATTATATAGATCCTGCCTTATTCAAATCCACAAAAACCAGTAAGCTTAAGAACCTTCATAGACACTCAGATACCCAAGAGAGAGACTGCTGGAAAAGTCTCCCTCCTAAGTACTTGTAGTTTCATTTCATTCATCACTATCTAAATATCTTCCTTCCTATGGGCTCCCACTTCTGGATCCCTCTTCTGCAGGGATCTGTGGCAATCTCCAATCTACATCTTCAGCCTAGGAAAGCCCAGATTCCTCAAAAGATGGGCTAACATAATTGAGAGTAGGATCTCTCTATTCCTCTGCTTCTGGAAAGTAAGTTAGTCTCAGTCATCCACCCCAAGCATATGCATGTTACCAACTACCCAAATGAAGCTTCATTGCCGTTTTGCCGGCCAATCCTACATTTGCCCTACCCTACATGTACATGAGAGAATTGAGAAAAGAGTCAGAAAAAAAGAGACATCCACTCTGGGTCATAGATCTATGTACTTAAGCAATCTCCAGCTCCCTAGTCCTTGAGGGATTCTAAGTCCTCTGTAAGCTGGGATGGAAGAGGATGACACCACATTCCTATCTGCTCCAGAGACTCTTTCCAGTGGCTCAAATTCTTTTAACATTTTTCAATAAAACCTTGAAGTTTGTCAGTTCCTCCAGTTAAACAAACAAAAAGGCAGCAACCTCTTCAGAACTCCTTGAATGCCGTATTCTAATATGCCTTTCTTGATAGCTCCCAACATCCTGTGTTTTCAATTCCCTTATCTTTATCAAACTTGCATTAAACCAAATATTCAGATTTTTTCCTAAAACCTTCATTTCTATCCAACTAAGAGTTTGTTTCTCTTCAAATTTGGCTGTCCCCTGCAAATTCCATTCTTATCCACTTTCATTGGGTTCAACAGCTCATTCCATTCTCATCCTCTTCCACTGTGTTCACTAGAGCCACTCCCTCTTCCTAAAACTAAAATCTCTCAATGACAGAATGATGTAAAAGAAGACTGGGTTTTGAACTAAGAAATCTGAGTGCAATTCTCATTTCTCTGATTTACTGTATCCAAATAATTTTCTCTCTTTAAGTTTCAGGTTCTCCACCTGAACAACCACTTCATCAGGATGTTAAGCAAGGATTCAAGTACTAGAGGATATTTTGTTTAGTCTCTAGGATTTCTTAACATTCTGAAATTCTATGCACCTCTGATTGTGTCTGTAAGAAAATGGGGAATATTTAGCTGCCATACATGAAAACTATAAAAGAAGTTCTTAAACCCTAAGAAAAGCAGTAGAGAAAGTGAAAAGAAATCAAGAAAATACTAAAATGTCATAGAAGGAAAAAAGAAGAATCCAGAAAATAAGAAAAAGCTACAGCGAACTAGGCAGGGTACTCACTTAAAGAGAAAACCTAACTGGGCAGGCAGTAAGTAGAGAAATGAATTAGAAATATCCTTTTAATATGTGCTAAATATAGTTAACATAACATGGTCTATATTTAGATAATCTCCATGCACAGTAAGGTAATATTTTTCAAGGACTGGACTGGTCTTGCTTATGAAAAACTTAGGGTCCTGTGGACACAGGTAACTGATATCTGCCTTTAAAATTTTGATGGTTAAAAAAAATGTAATATGGTTACCACTGCCATTTCCAAAATACTTGGACAAACTTTTGGAGTATCCATGCTTCTAAGGAACACTCTAAAGAGAGTTAATATATAACAAAATGTGACTTTCTGAATTGATCTGAGTTAAACCAGTACCGTGATCACATTGCTGCATAGGTCTGTATCCATCTATGCTTAGGGGCAAATGAAGTGATTTGAGAGCCAGGCAGGATGATGGCCAAATCATGGGTTGGCTACCTGTTAACTGTGGAATCATGAGCCAATATTTCAACCTCTTTAAAGCAGAGTTCCCTAATTAGTAAAAAAGCAATAATAGCACAAATAGTTTGTAAAGCTGTGTGGAGATGACATGACATGATAAATATTAAGCATGTAATATGGTGTCTAGCACAGAGTAGAACACTAAATGGATACTAGTTTCTATTCTCTCTATTCACTAAGTTAACATATCACTTTAAAAAATCTATGAAATCATACCTGTTTAAACACTGTTCAACAGCAGGAAGCACTATTAAACAACAAGTAAAATGCATTTTAAATCAATAGGAACCTATAAAATATTAAAAACATAAAAGAGCACAGTGACTTTTTCCTATAATCTCAGCTACTCAAAAGGTTCAGGCAGAAGTATCACTTGAGAAGCCCAGGTGTTTCAGACCAGCTTGGGCAACACAGAAACACTCTATCTTTATTTTTAAAAAGTTAAAAAAATTTTAAAAAAAAATCATGTAGGCAGGGCTCGGTGGGTCATGCCTGTAATCCCAGCACTTTGTGAGGCCGAGGTGGGTGGATCACTTGAGGTCAGGAGTTTGAGACCAACCTGGCCAACATGGTGAAAGCCGGTCTCTAGTAAAAATACAAAAATTACCAGGTTGGTGGTGCACACCTGTTAACTCAGCTACTCAGGAGACTCAGACAGGAGAATCACTTGAACCCAGAAGGTGAAAGTTGAAGTGAGCCAGGATCACGCATGTCTTTCATACAAGACATCAGAAGGATTTAAACCATTATACTACAAATATTCATCATGCTCTTTGACTTGCCTGAAAATTGAGCAGGTACACAATGACAATTATTACACTTTAGATGAATGCACACTTCAAAGCTCCTCAGTGGAAGTGTCCTGAATTGGTCAGCTTGGATATATGTTTGGTGAATCCTATTATATGGTATTCATTATTTTTCATACCCATGTGGTATAATAATGAGCTTGCACTTTGGTATTTTCTGGTTTAACCTTCAGAAAGTTTTGTCAGTCACTCATGGGAACAAGGTATAATATACAAACCTAATCAAAATGTATAAAAAATTATCAAATTTGATATACTTACACACAATAAAGTTGCTACAAGCATTAGATATGAATAACGTTGTCCATTTGGAAATCACTCCAATATTCATTAAAAAAATATATTTTAGGAGTCAATTAAAGAATTTAACATTATTTTTGTTTCTAAAATAAGTCTGGTTTGAAAGATCATGTTATTCTCTAAAGTATTTTCATTAAATTGCTATTTTATCCAAAAGTTTGCTCTCTGAACAACAAAGCCAGTGTATGCATATTTACATTTATCTCATTTGACTAACTGATAACAACAAAACATATATCTCTGATGCCCAATAATGACAAAGAGGGGTAACAGGTGACTGTGGTTTATCACAATTCTAGCACTAGCACTCTATCCTGCTTCCAGTAGTTCCTGGAGCAGCCAAAATCAAATCTTCCTTCATGCAAACATTCTAAAAGCATCTGAAGTGAGTTCCCTCAGGTTTCCTCAGCAGAAACCCCAAAAATTATATAAATAACTTCTTTTTCCTTCTTCCTGCCTCACAATCCCTCTTCCCTGAGGAAAATAATTACTACATCAGCGGTCTCGTTACTTCTCGTTCTATAGTGTTTATGGATTATTATGATCACTTCCTCCCTCTGGTTTTAGCAGTGTGATCTGGCGCCTATAATTTCTAGTACTTCATCTTGTTCTCCTTCCCCTCTTGATGGAAACATGCTGTAGAATTAAAGGAAAATTATGCTGTCCTCTCAGCCTGTTATGTCTTGAACTGCTCTCCAATGGTTCTTCTTCCCAATTTCAATGTAGGGAAGTCTATAATCTTACTATTCAGATCATGGCCAAAAATCAGCAGAATCACCATCACTCCAGAACTTATTACAAATGCAGAATCTCAGGCCTGCTGAATCAGAATGAGCAGCTTCAATGAGCCCCCTGCTGATTTATTTGGGGAAGGGAAGTTCTCCTCTATCTTGAATGTACATGACATTAAATGTGTATTGCAAAATTATCTGTCCCAGATTTTTGTTCATCTTTTAGTTCTGTGGCTATGTTCGAAACAGAATCTTTCTTGTCACTTGTATCCTGAATGGGATTTCAAACAAAATAATCAATACATACAGTATATTTCATAGACTATACAGTTAATAATTCAAAATATGAATGAAGAGTGTAATACCTTCAAGGCCGGTTGTTTCTGAGAAGACACTGAAAACCAAAAGGGATACATAATCACTCGTATGTAAATATGATAAAGTTATTCATACTTTCATGCAGTGTTAGCATCAAGCTGTATCCTCCTGCCTGAATTAGCGTAGGCTTTGATGTTTTCTACTTTGTGTATTGGGACAGGAACATGACAGAATTACACTGTAGAAAACAGAAGTATAGTCTTCACAAAACAAACACTTCCAATTTCATAGGTGATATTATTCTTCATATGTCTGTTACTACAATAAAACAGTGTCTATATCAATGTGGATATGCCGAGTGATGAGGAAAAATGTGATCTAAAATCAGAGCAGCAACTCATACACTTGGGAATCAATGTCAAAGCAGGTGACTAATGCTCCTGCATGTTTTTCATGTAAGACATCAGAGGGATTTATACCGTTATACTACAAATATTTATCATGCTCTTAAACTTGCCTGACAATTGAGCAGGTACACAATGATAATGGCACTTTAGTTGAATGTACACTTCTCAAGTGCTCTGTGGAAGTGTCCCTAATTGATCAGCTTAAATATATGTTTGGTGAATCCTAGCATATAATATTCTTTATTTCTCACACCCCTGTGGTGTCATAATGTGCCTACATTTCTCGTATCCTCTAGTTTAGCCTTCAGAAAGTTTCTTCATCCACTCATGGCAAGAAGGTATAATACATAAACCTCATCAAAAAGTATAAACCATCAAATTTGGCATACTTATACAAAATAATGTTACTAAAAGCATTAGATATGAATAAGCGTTTCCATTTGGAAATTGCTCTGATATTCATTGAAAATAACCACTTTAGGAGTCAATTAATGAATTCAACATTATTTTTGTTTCTAAAATATCTGGTTTGAAGGATCATGTTATTCTCTAAAGTATTTTCATTAAATTGCTATTTTATCCAAAAGTTAGTTCCTTGAAAAACAAAGCCAATGTATGCATATTCATGATTATCCTATTCGAATAGCTAATACCAAGAAAACATATATCTCTGATGCCCAACAGTAACAAAGAGGGGTAATGAGTCACTGTGTGTCATCACAATTCTAGCACTCTATCCTGCTTCCAGTAGTTCCTGGAGCAGCCAAAATCTAATCTTCTTTTATGCAAATATTCCAAATGCATCTGAAGTTGAGTCCCATCAGGTTTCTGCAGCAGAAACCCCAAAATTACATAAATAACATCTCCTTTTCCCTCCTTCTTGCCTCTCAATCCCTCTTCCTTGAGTAAAATAATTACCACATCAGACGTCTCCTTAGTTCTCTTTCTACATTGTTTATGGGTTATTCCAATCACTTCTTCCATGTGGTTTTAACAATATGATCTGATGCCTATAATTTTTATTACTTAATCTCTTTCTCCTTCCCTTTACAATGGAAACAGGCTGTAGAATTAAAGCAAGAATATGCTGTCCCTTAGCCTATTATATCTTGCACTGCTCTCCAATCATTCTTGCCAATTTCACTGTGGGGAAGAATATAATCTTACTACTCAGATCATGGCCAAGGAACAGTAACATCAGTGTCACCTGAGAACTTATTACAAAAGCAGAATCTCAGGCCTGCTGAATCAGAATGTGCAGATTCAATGAGCCCCCTGCGATTTATTCAGGGAAGAGAAGTTCTCTTCTATCCTGAGTGAACATGACATTAAATGTGTATTGCAAAATTACCTGTCCCAGATTTTTGTCCATCATTTATTTCTGTGGCTATATTCGAAACAGAATCTTTCTTGTCACTTGTAGCCTGAATGGAATTTGAGACAAAATAATCAATACATAAAGTGTATTTCACAGACTATATAGTTAATAGTTCAAAACAGAAATGAATGTGTAATTACCTTCAAGGCTGGTTGTTTCTGAGAACACACTGAAAAGCAAAAGGGATACATAATCAGTCATATGTAAATATGATAAAATTATCCATACATTCATGCACTGTTACCATCAAGCTGTATCCTCCTGCCCCTATTAGTTTAGGTTTTTAAGTTTTATACTTTATGTCTTGGGACTGGAACATGACAGAAATACACTGAAGAAAACACCAATACAGGCTTCATGAAATATACACTTACAATTTCAAACATGATATGATTTGTCACATGTCTAAAACTAAAATGAAACAGTGTTAGTATCAATGTGGATATGCGGAGGGATAAAAACAAATGTGGTCTAAAAACAGAGGAGCAACTCATGCACCTGGGAATCAATGTCAAAGCAGGTGGTACGTGCTCTCACATGTCTTTAGTGCAAGAGATGAGAAGGAAATACACCATTATACTACAATCATTCATCATGCTCTTTAACTGGCCCAATAACTGAGAAGGCACACAATTATGATGACACTTCAGCTGAATGTACACTTCACATCTCCTCAGTGGAAGCGTCCTAAATTGATCAGCTTGGATGTATGTTTGGTGAATCCTAGTAGACAGTATTCATTATTTCTCAGACCCATGTGGTGTAATTATTGCCCAAGTTTCTTGTGTTCTGTAGTTCAGCCTTCTGAAAGTTTTTTCATCTACTCACGGCAATAAGGTATAATATGTAAACCTCAATAAAAAGTATCATCATTTATCAATATTGACATACTTCTACAAAATAAAACTGCTACAAGCATTAGATATTAATAAGCTTTCACATTTGGAAATGACTCCAATATTCATTGAAAATAACCATTTTATGAATCAATTAATGAATTCAACATTATTCTTGTTTCTAAAATAGTCTGGTTTGAAGTATCATGTTATTCTCTAAGGAATTTTTATTAAATTGCTATTGTATCCAAAAGTTAGCTCCTTGAAAAACAAAGCCAATGTATGCACATTCATGTTTATTTCATTTGAATAACTAATATCAACAAAATCTATGTCTCTGATTCCCAATAGTAACAAAGAGAAGTAACGAGTCACTGTGGTTTATCTGAATTCTAGTACTCTTTCCTTCTTCCAGTAGTTTCTGGAGCAGCCAAAATCAAATCATCTTTTATGCAAATATTCTAAATGCATCTGAAGTGAGTTCAGTTATACTTAGAGTCATAATTTAAAAAATCATTTTCTTTGTACTCATGAAGGCTCCTAAGATTCCTACATTTCCCAGATTCAGCAGTTCAGCTCTTTTGCCATCTCTTTTTCCACTTTTGCAAAAACATACATGTCAAAGAAATCATGCATAATCAGATTCCCATGTAAATAAGGTAAACAAAATCTCTAAATTACAAGAGACTTCTTTTCTTATTAGTAACCAACAAAATATATACATACGTACATATATGTGTGTGTGTGTGTGTGTGTGTGTGTGTCATGATTGCCAAGAATATTGGTAGTTTTTTTAGTACTCAAGATATACATTCTTTTATTACTTTGTTTCTAAAGCTAGTTTGAAATAATATACCATAGGGGTCTCTCAGGTCCTTTTATGAAATAACTACCTCAGCAAACACACCTTTCCTAAAGAAAAAAAAAACACTTTTTCTAGATTAAGCTGCATCCCAATATGCTAACTGATGTGAACGAAGCACATATCATTGATGTGTAAAACTTCTAGGGAGGAGAAATGAAACCCTGGGGGTCACCCTCATCCTTCTAACTTCCGCTTTCCATTAAGTGACTCCCCACAAGTCTCCTCATCAGAAACCCCCAAATTACCTAGCTAGCCACTTTCTTTGTTCTGCCCAATTTGACATACACTCCTTTTCATTCATAAATCTAATATCCATATTGGTGGACTTCATTCTTTGCCCTCCACATTCATTTCTTCATTATTCTCACCACTACTGTATTGTGACATCTGTACAATCCCATTCTGACACATGTGAAGATAAGGTTTTGCTTTATTAAAATGTTAAATGTATCAGACACTTGACTAACGTGTACAAATTCCTTCTTCACAAAAGCAGCCCCATGGCCTTCTCTCTCCCATAGACACTCTTTCACAGCTGTTCTTCACTCACATCGGTTTGAGTATCTATCATCTCTCATTTTGTCTCTATGCTTTCACCTCATATCATGAGTTATTATCATAGGCTTAGCAGCCTTTCTTACCTATTTTCCTCTCCAGGAGACAGTACTGAGTAGTAAATTAGAATCTTCCAGGATATGAACACTTTCACGTACACAAGACTTTGTGGAGCTATTTTATGTTTAACTACACATAAAACCACTATGTCTATGCATTCCAGAGAAACGGGCTCTGAAATGTTATTGAACATAACCTATTTAAAAACTTCTTTAACTACAATGACACTGCCTCTCCTCAATGCACCAACATCTTCAGAAATAACTTGTGAAGACTTGAAAACATGTCAGTAATTGACATGAAAAATGAAGAATGATGTAATTTTTTGCAGGTATAAATAAGACATGCTGAGATCCTTACTAGATCCAAGAAGAGAAGAGTGCCATGAGACAGGAAATAAATATGGAACAGAAATATTTTCATTTGTAATGAAAATTATTCTATTTACAGTTTTCAGAAGAGAAAAAAATACACACACACACACACACACATTCACACACAAAAACCAGAGCAATACGGCTTTACAGGGTGTTTTTTCTTCAAAAGCCTATTTGTCATTTGACATCCGGGAACACTCTATAGGGATCAACAAAGGGGTTCTAAATTGTGACCTGAGTAGTTTAGAGTTTAAAATTCATGAGGGGGAGTCAAGAGGACAAGTAACACTTTGACCATTGGCCATTTCCTCTCCTTACTGTCATTCTCTGAAAAGCACACACTGGATTTTCTCAGGATCATGACATGTCAAAAAGACATGCTTTAAGGGGGAAACAGTTGCAATCAACACAGCCATGGGAGACATACAGCTATGCTTGCTAGGATTTCCAATACTTCTGTTTCATTTCTAATATAGTACAAGTCATTAAAAGCAACCACATAAGCATATCCATGCTGGTATCTCATCATATTTATGTCCATATGGTATCAGCATGAAGAGAGCATAATTAAATATGCTGCAGTCATCACATGGCATATCATTAGATCATACAATAAATCGAATACCTCACTGGGTCAACATGGATAGATCTGAAATATATATCACTGATTTTACAAAGACCAAGTTGCAGTCATTGTGTGCACTGTCTGAACTTTTCTACAAGGTTTTAATACACAAAATCACGTTCTACATGTTATCTATGAATGTGCACATATGTTATAACAGGTTTTTAATGTGTATTTGGGTGATTTCTTTTTCTTTTTTTAAAAAAAATTAAGTTCTTGGTTAGATGTCGTCAATAAGTTTTAGTAGTATAGAAAACCCTAAGACCATGACAGCTCAGAATGACTGTCTTAAAAGGCTATGTCTACCAAAGAGTCAGGAAAGCACGACTACTTACTTTCTTCATTTTTAAAACTCAGAGGTACCCCACGCACACTCCCAAATAAAGCTGCACACAAGTTCTTTAGTTTAATTAGATCCCATTTTTCAATTTGGGCTTTTGTTGCCATTGCTTTTAGTGTTTTAGTCATGAAGTATTTGCCCATGCCTATGTCCTGAATGGTACTGCCTAGGTTTTCATCCAGGGTTTTTACACATTTAGAACTTACTTTTAAGTCTTTAATGCATCTTGAGTTAATTTTTGTATAAAGTGTAAGGAAGGGGTCCAGTTTCAGTTTCCTGCATAAGGCTAGCCAGTTTTCCCAACACCATTTATTAAATACGGAATCCTTTCCCCATTGCTTTTGTCAGGTTTGTCAAAGATCAGATGGTGTAGATGTATAGCATTATTTCTGAGGCCTCTGTTCTGTTCCATTGGTCTATATATCTCTTTTGGTACCACTACCATGCTGTTTTCATTACTGTAGCCTTGTAGTATAGTTTGAAGTCAGGTAGCATGATGCCTCTAGCTTTGTTCTTTTTGCTTAGGATTGTCTTGGCTATATGGGCTCTTTTTTTGGTTCCATATGAAATTTAAAGTAGTTTTTTCTAATTCTGTGAAGAAAGTCAATGGTAGCTTGATGGGTATAGCATTGAACTTGCAAATTACTTTGGGAAGTATGGCCATTTTCAAGATATTGATTCTTCCTATCCATGAGCATGGAATGTTTTTCCATTTGTTTGTGTCCTCTTATTTCCTTGAGTGGTGGTTTGTAGTTCTCCTTAAAGAGGTCCTTCAAATCCCTTGTGAGTTGTATTCCTTGCTATTTTATTCTCTTTGTAGCAATTGTGTATGGGAGTTCACTCATGATTTAGTGCTCTATTACTGGTGTATAGGAACGCTTGTGAATTTTGCACATTGACTTTGTATCCTGAGACTATGAGGAAGTTGCTTATCAGCTGAAGGAGATTTGGGGCTGAGACAATTTGGTTTTCTAAATATACAATCATGTCATCTGCAAACAGAGACAATTTGACTTCCTTTCTTCCTATTTGAATACCGTTTATTTCTTTCTCTTGCCTGATTACCCTGGCCAGAACTTCCAATACTATGATCAGAGTGAACAGGCAACCTACAGAATGGGAGGAAATGTTTGCAATCTGTCCATCTGACAAAGGCCTAATATCTAGAATCTACAAGGAACTTAAACAAATTTACAAGAAAAGAACAATCTCATCAAAAAGTGGGCAAAGGATATGAACAGACACTTCTCAAAAGAATACATTTACGCAGCCAACAAACATCTGAAAAAAAGCTCATCATCACTGATCATTAGAGAAATGCAAATCAAAACCACAATGAGATACCATCTCACGCCATTTAGAATGGCAATCGTTAAAAGGTCAGGAAACAACAGATGCTGGAGCAGATGTGGAGAAATAGGAATGCTTTTACACTGTTGGTGGGAGTGTCAATTAGTTCAACCATTGTGGAAGGCAGTGTGGTGATTCCTCAAGGATCTAGAACCGGAAATACCATTTGAGCCAGTAATCCCATTACTGGGCATATATTTGGTGCGTGTGTGTGTGTGTGTGTGTGTGTGTGTGTGTGTATGTACAGTGGCTTGTCCCTATAATCTCAGCTACTCAGAAGGCTGAGGCAGAAGTATCACTTGAGAAGCCCAGGAGTTTGAGAACAGCCTGGGCAACATAGCAAGACTCTTTACTAAAAAAAAAATCATGCAGGCTGGGCACAGTGGCTCATGCCTGTGATCTCAGCATTTTGGGAGGCCAAGGCGGGTGGATCACGTGAGGTCAAAAGTTTGAGACCAGCCTGGCCAAACATGGTGAAACCCCATCTCAACAAAAATACAAAAAAAAATTAGCCAAGTGTGGTGGCACATGTATGTAATCCCAGCTACTCGGGAGGCTGAGACAGGAGAATCGCTTGAACCCAGGAGGCAGAGGTTGCAGTGAGCCGAGATTGTGCCATTCCACTCCAGCCTGGGTGACAGAGTGAGACTTCATCTCAAAAGAAAAAACAAATCATGAACTTTTGTACATGCCTTAGACCTTGTAGGAAAAATATTATAAGACTTTGATGCTTTATTACAGAGACTCTCATGATTTGTTACAAAGCAGTGCTTTAGAAACATACTTGGAGGCTATACTAAAATTATTATTTATACTATTTGTAGGCAACTAATGAGTTAAGAACTCTTATTTCCTTTCTTACATGCTTAGCATATACTTATCAAATGCAAAGAAGAATATATTATCAAAATTTGTTACCTTACATGTGAATTGCGGTATAAAATAGTCATAATTCTAACAGAATTATATCAGACTGACAGAAAATGGCATCATTAGTAGAATCAATATAATGAGCAGGCATTGTCAAAGAACATGATTTCTGGACAAATGAACCAGGTGCAGCTAGAACAGCAGTCCCCCTTATCTGCTGTATGTGTAGAAAACACATATTCAACATGATGTTCCCCTTCTCTCACACCGCAACAACAATCATCAACACAGAAGATTTCTGTGACCAAATATGTATTTTTCCCCAGCAACAAGCAAACAATCAATTCCGATGGGTGCCCTCTAATTCTGACACTATCTACTTGGGGATTATCTACAGGTTGAGGGCTCAGTACCACAAGGCTATTCCCCCACAGCAGTTACAAGTCTGGGCCTCCAGAACTTCTAATCAACTTCCAGTTGGACTTCAAGTTGGGTTTCCCAGGACCCCCTCTTTGGTTTGATCAATTTACTAGAGTGGCTCAGAGAACTCATGGAAACACATTTACCAGTTTCTTATAAAGAATATTAAAGGATACAGATAAAGAGATGCATAGTGCAAGATATGGGGGGAAAGTAACACGCTTCCATGTCCTCCCAGGGCACTCACCCTCTGGGAACATCCATGTATTCTCCATATGCCTTCATGTATTGAATGAGAGCATCCAGGTAGCTGAATACAGCTACCTGGATGCTCTCCAAATCCAATCCTTTTGGGATTTTATGAAAGCTTCCTTACATAGGCATGACTGATTAATTGAACATTCAGCCCCTCTCACATCCCAGGTGGTGAGGGGTGGGGCTGGAAGCCCCAACCCTCTAATCACACCCTGATCACTCTGATGATGAGCCCCACCCTGAAGCCATCTGGAGGCTGCCTGCCATAAGTCAATCATTAGCATACAAATGATATCATGTGGGAAGTTCTGAGGATTTTAGGAGTTGTATGACAGAAAATGGGGTTGAAGACCAAATATATATTTCATAATATGACATTGGTGGTTTTATTGACTGCAGATTCAGTTACCCACGGTCAACCATGGTCCATAAATAAAATTCCAGATGTATATACATCATAAGGTTTAAATTGCATAAGATTCTGAGTAGTATGATAAAATTTGAGCCATTACATCCCAGTCTGCCCAAGATGTGAATCATCCCTTTGTCAAGTGCATGCACATTATATATGATATCTGCTCACTAGTCATTGACATAATCTGTACCTAACATCCAACCAACAACATCATCATGGCTCACGGATCCAAGATCACGTGAAGCAGATGTTCTTCTTTCTGACATATAGTCAAATAGAAGGTCAATAATAGCCCAAGACTACATGGCAATGCCTACTGCATTTGCCTCACTTATCACATAGCCATTTTATCATCTCACATCAGTGCAGAAAGTAGGGTGACTATAGTACATGATATTTTGTGAGCTCACATTCACTTAACTTTTATTACAGTATATTGTTACAATTGATCCACTTTACCATTAGATATTATTAATCTCTTATTGTGCCTAATTTATGCATTAAATTTTATTATAGATATATATGTATTTTTAAAAATTATTGTATGCATAGAGTTCAGCACTATCCATGTTTTCAGGCATTCACTAAGGGTCTTGAAATGTATCCCCCATGTATAAGAGGAAATTACTGTACTTATTTTGTTGAAACACAAGTTTCTCCACTTCTTCAGTTTAAACTATTCAGGATAAAGCACTCTAATACAAAAAATCTAGGTCTATGAAAACTGTACTCTATTCTATGGCAAAACACAGCATACAGACCAGGGTCAAGGATCCCTGCAAAGACTTTTCAGCTGCCAGTGCAGAAGAGCCTAAGAGAGATCAGTATCCTTACCTTCACTAATCCTCTCCTAGGGAAGATTCTGGTAAGTTTGCTTAGTTCTAGCTATTCATTCACCCTATGTAGGGCACAAACAATGCTTAAATTCAGCTTTCATTTTAGCTCCTTCAAAAAAACACACACAGAGGAAATAGCACTCCCTTAAAAGCTTATCCAATCTGAGTCTTGTCTCCTTTTCAGAGAGAAGCTTATGAAGAAACGCCAGGGAGGTATGGCAAGTTGCCAGGGAGGACTTTCTAATATATAAAATATATATAAAGGAACCATAAACTCACTGGAGCTACCAAGATGTGCCAACAGTTGTCCCACTACCTAGTGTGAAAAACAACAACAACAACAAATCTTTGTCACTTTAGGTAAACAAAAATAGTATGACTCTCTTGGCATTTTTCATGATGGAGAACCTAGTTATAAGTGAGTCATGTTATAATAATATAGACTGTTTTCAAACTGATCCCTCAAAGAAAGAAGGTCAATAAGAAACATATTTGTATGCCTATAGTATTCACTAGCTGGTCTTATTTCCAACTGCAAGGTAAATAGGAAAGACTTTCTGACTCCAGTTTTATAAAGTACAGCCTCTTGAGATTGTCCCTTTCCACTTCTAGTCTATCTGGACCCATCTCACAGAGAAGGATGATCCAGTTATTGCTGTGTAGTATACAGCATGAAGCCATTTTCCTCAACCCTCCTCATTATGTGGCAAATGTCTATATAAATTATGCTTTTTCAACATGTAAAGCATATGCCATTAAATCCTACATTAATAAACTAAAAGCAAAAAAGCACAATGGATAGCTTAATTGAATACATTCAATTATCTTGGAAATTTATGTTTTGTAATATTGAAAAAGATATCCACTATATTATCCTTAATATATGACTATGCTGGACATATCAAAACTATGGAGACAGCAAAAATATTAGTAGTTGACAGGGGTTAGTTGGGAGGGAGGAATAAAAAAAGAGAGACGAATTTCAGGGCAGCGAAAGTATTCTAGTGGCAGGTACATTTATTATACATTTGTCCAACTATATAGAAGGTACAATACCAAAAGGGAACTAAGATATAAACTATGGACTTTGGGTGATTATTATGATCCAGCAATGTAAGCTTCTCAGTTGTAACAAATGTACCACTCAGGTGGGAGATATTCATAATGGGGGGAGCTATGCATGTGAGGGGGGATGGCATATATGAAAAATCTCTTTAGGTTCTTTTCAATATTGCTGGGAATATAAAACTGCTCTTAAAATAAAGTTATTAATTTTTTTAAAAGATTTTCACTGCATCTTCTATTACTAATATATTGCTATAATATATTGCCATATATTATAGCAAGATGTACTCAATTTGAAACACAATATGAATATTCTCTCCAGAATTGTAGTATATAAAAGTACATAAAGCAAATAACTATATTAACAGGGAAGAAAATAATGGATAAATGATTGATTTTTTAAATTTCATAATTATAAACAGAAATTTAACAAAATATAAAACAAAACTGAAACCTATATAATTAAAATGAAACAAATTTTTTATTTTAATTTTAAACCAGAAATCATTATTTATTTTATCTATTTTACTGAAAGGTTAATTGAATAAGAACAGATTATAATTACCTAATATTACCATAGTAACTTCTGTATAGAAACCTGTTAAATATTCACCAAAATTTCAAAATCTAACAGCACAGAAACTTAGTATTTCATATTAAGTTGCAACTGACGCAAATGAAATAAGCACCATGCTATGTTATATCACCATGTTATTCACTATTAAATAGAATTTTTAAGACACTAAAATTAAGTTGGGGCTGTAACTGCTGTGAAGAAAATAATTCATATAACAGTCATAAGACTGTCATTCTTAGAAATGCCTACATGCAAAACTGGCCCTTCGCTGGTGTTTGGAAATTTGCATTTTAAAGGTTTGTCACCATTTCCTGAGAAAAGTAGCTCACTGTACCTAAACTGTTTGCATAAACAATGTGGTTGACTCTGAACAGCTGCTTTTCTTCTGGAAGTGTGGAATTTTTGTATATGTGTGAGAGAGAATGCTTATGTAACTAGCTTCCATAAAAACCTTGGATACTGTCTTGTCAGACTCATATTGGTAGACAATACTGCCCATGTGCTGTCAAAATTCAAAGCTACAGGAATTCAGCACATCCTGGTAACTTCACAGAAGAGGGCTCCTGGAAGCTTGTGCCTGGCTTCCCCAAGACTTGCCACATGCCCCTTTGCCCTGAGCCAATTTTACTTTGTATTCTTTCACAGTAACAAATCAAAGCCCAGAGTAGGACTGTTTGCTGAGTCCTTACAAGTGAATCACCAAACACAGAGGTGGTCTTGGGAAACTCTGACACAGTGGCATTACATGAAATTAGTTTTCTTTAAGGTGATGTGACCTGTGACTACAATCAGAAGGCTGTTTATAGAATACCTTTCCCTAATCTGTTTTCCTTAACAGTTGCCTTTGAGATTCCTGTATTTCCGCATGAATAAATCCATAAAGGAATAGAAATAATTATGCCAAAAAAATGAAAAACAAGCAGCAATCCTATTTTAACCAGAATAAAAAATTGAGAATATGGATGATTAAAAATATACCCCATAGTATGAAAGCTTCTAGAAGAGAAACAAAAAGATCACAGCCAATTGTCTTCAACTCTCCAAGGTTTCTTTTATAATAATTGGGGATCAGGCCAGGCACAATGACACACACCTGTAGTCCCAACTACTCCAACGGCTGAGGCAGGAAGATTGCTTGAGATCAAAAGTTCAAGGTTGCAGTGGAGATTGTGCCTGTGAATAACCATTGCACTCCAGCCTGGGAAACAGAGTGAGACCCTGTCTCTAAAATGTATTAGTAGGCTGGGGGCGGTGGCTCATGCCTGTAATCCAAACACTTTGGGAGGCTGGGGCGGGCGGATCACAAGGTCAGGAGATGGAGACCATCCTGGCTAACATGGTGAAACCCCATCTCTACTAAAAATATAAAAATTAGCTGGGCGTGGTGGTGCACGCCTGTAGTCCCAGCTACTAGGGAGGCTGAGGCAGGAGAAGCACTTCAACCCAGGAGGCAGAGGTTGCAGTGAGCCAAGATCACGCCACTGCACTCCAGCCTGGGCAACAGAGTGAGACACAGTCTCAAAATATATATATATATATATTAATAAAAACATATGTAAAAAATTTGCATCATTCAGGTCATTGTGATAATTATAGAAATATATGTAGCCATTGGTTATAATACTGTACTATCAATCATAGAGCTCATTTAATTTGTTTCTAATCTTTTTTCTTAAGTTCTTATAAAACTAAAAATATCTATTAAAACTAAAATCATCTGTTAAAGTAAGGGCCAATAGGACTTTAAACTCATTTTGGGGAATAAAGGAAGTTATGGACCAGCACGATGGCTCATGACTATAATTCCAGCACTTTGGGAGGCTGAGGCAGGAGGATCACTTGAAGCCAAAAGTTTGAGACTGGCCTGGGCAACAGAGAGAGACCCTTGTCTCTAAAAAATAAAAAATAAAAAAGTTAGCTTGGTGTGGTGGCATATGCTTGTAGCAGTCTCAGCGACTTAGGAGGCTGAAGTAAGAGGACCACTTGAACCCAGAAGTTTGAGGCTGCAGTGAGCTATGATCACACTATTGCACTCCAGCCTGGGAAACAGCAAAAGACTCAATCTCAAAAAAAAAAAAAAAATCAAGAAAGTTATATATAGATGGTTAAAGGTGTGGTAATCCAACCGACCAAATATTCCAGCTAAGTAACAGATTACCAATATTCGAAGAAATATAACACCAGAAAAGTGTTTTACATTAAAACTGTGTCAAGTTTGAAAATTTAAAAGACACCTTAAGTGTCTTAACTTAATTTGAAAATTTAAAAGACACTTAAAGTTTGAAAACTTAAAAGAAACTTAAAATCTTAAAGGACCAGCATCACTTACACTGTCACTGTGCTAAAGATATAAAGAAGTTTAGCATTAAAGATTAATAGAATACCAGACATACTTTAGAATAGGTAGCTAATTCTCTTAAAAGAAAATCATATATAGTTGTCAAAAATACCTATGTTAGAAATGTGTTCTAATAATATTTTCTTTAGGGATGAAATTCAAAAGAAAACAGTAAAAGTAGAGATATTAGAAGAGGTCATGAAAAGGGAATTGCACTAAAACAAAGTGTCCCAGAACACAGAGACTTGGTATACTTAGCATATCACCTTATATTTTTCTCCATAACATTATATAAAAGATGTCAGCTTCTCCAAACTGCTCGTCTGTAGACTACTTCCAATTGAAACTTGAAACTCTCGAAATGTGGCTGTGTTATGATTCCATGTTGGAGGGAGTTGGGATGTATGTGCTTTGGACAATCTGGTTCCAGTTACTGCTGCCAGACTTTTGTTTCAGAATGCATCCAGAAGAACTTATCAGGGATTTCAGTACAAACTAAGTATTTCCACAAGGAGCAGATAAGAAGACCGCAGTTTTTCTCACACATTACCCTTAGGTTTTGACAATTCTGTAAAAGAGTGGGCACATGTAATCAGAAGTCAAGACCATTTTCCCTGACCCTGTGCATGTAGCTTCTGCAGTTACAAAAGAGTTACGTAGGATCTTGGTAGATTTGTTCCTCCATATTTGGACACCAGATATACCAATCACATCAACAGCTCACATTACACCTCAAAAATGGTTCTTTTGAAAAGGGTACTGCCAAAGAGCTTTTAAAAGTTAAATCTAATTGGCTTTTTAGTAATCTTACTTGTTAGAATTGATACTCCCTCCTTAAAATTCTCACATTTTTATTTTTGCCACATCACTTCCTCTGACTCCTCTCCTACTTTTCTCTAGCCACTGCTCATTCTCCTTTACCAATTCTTTTTCTCCTGGGGGCGGGAGGGAATGTTGACATTCCCAGGGTTTTGTCACTGGATGCCTTCTCATTCTACATCTGCATCATGGACAGTTGAGATCGATGACTTTGCCTAATAATTATAACAACATCATTCTACGTCTGCATCTCCAACCTCAGAGTTGGAGGGAAGGGAAGTTACTCTTCTCTGTTGACCAGCTGTACTTCTCCATTCAGTGAACACATCCTACTCCTTTCTCCTGTGCAGTATAAAGGCCAGTACACAACCTGGAAACCTATGAATGATCCAAGATTTCTCTCTCCCCACTAATGTTTTATATTCAATGTTCACTAAATCATATTAACTGTACCTCTTTTCTGCTTCTGCTTTATATTTCTACTGCTACCAAATAAATATGTTTATATTTCCTAGATCAACATGGCCTCTTCATTGATGGTTTTCACAGGAAAAAAGTCCCTACCAACTATTATTTTTTTATAAATAAAAAATTAAGTAAAACAAATGAAGAAGCCATAAGGGCAAGAAAAAGACCAACATTTTAAAATGAGTAAATGGAGTAAATTTACTTTATTTTATCATGGATGGGTGAACACCTTACACTAGATTGATAGTAGTTCAAGCATCGAACTAAAAGGAAACTACAGCTTTAACTACTGCAAAACTTCCTTTCTCTAGCTTACTTTCTTGTACTCAGAATACAATATATAATATATATAACATACCAAATATGTATTTTCATCAGCATGGGCATTGGCAGCACTAAATCCCATGTTGTTCAAGGGCCAACTGTAATTACTGATTCATTTACTAACTGCAAAGAATTTATTTTACAAGTTAAATAGAAGTTCTAATTATATAAAAAGTCTAATTCATTATTATGTGACTATAAAAAACCATGCAATGTAATAACTTAAAAATTTGTTTTCTTATTTACACAAAAAGATCATCTAGAATATTAGGAACCATCATAAAATAATAATTTTTTCAAACAATACTGAGATTATAAACTACCTACAATTAACTTTTTAAATAATTAGAAAATCTAGACTACTAAGTATTTTTTAAATGTGTGCAATTTAAATTGATTTTTTTAAACTGTTTTTTTGTAATCAAAACATCTTTATTCTTTTTTATCTATGGTAGTACCATCAAGAGTAATTCACTATCAGAAATCTTACCCGGATTGCTATTTATAGAAAGCTCTTCATATTTCTTTCTTTTGTATTCAGAAATTAGTCCGGCAATGCTATGTATAAAAATAAATGAAATTAATATTTTAATACCATTATCAAAAACATTTACCAAATATACTAAATTATTAGAGTATCTTGAACAATATCAGGATGTTAATTATCCTATACACTTCTCTTCTGTAAGCTCTACAAACTTCTTAGTACCTTTCTAATTAAATAATAAAAACAGGTGAAGTACTCATGAAGTGAAGGCAGTATAGCTCAGCAAACTATCTCACATCAGCTTGACATAATGGAAAGTCACCTTCCTGGCTCTTACTGGAAGGTCCTGGCTCTATAGTCAACAGGTATTTGCTCTTAAACAAGTTGCTTCTCTTATGCACAATGTCTTCTTCTAGATTTTACTATCTTCTTTCACTAGGTTGTTATATAGGTTTAATGAAGTAGCATTTTTAACATTCACAGAGAAATAGTAAAGCAGTGGAATTTGTTCTTGAACTTTATTGCTGAAACTATTTTGAAATCCCAAATCAAACCCAATGTGTATTTTTTCATAGGTTCTAATATTCAAATGCTTCAGTTTAAGAAAAATGTTAAGTCCTAATTTTGCTTATTGTTCTATTATTTGTGGCTTATAATTCAGGGCATCTCAACTATTTCATAATTCATAAATAAATTAATTTATGAATACATTATTTCATTAAAATAGGTAACACGATTGTTCACTATTATTGAGCTCATCAATTCCAAGGGCAGAAAACTAACAGATGTCAAGATCTGGCTTGGGCTACCACTATTACTTCTCTGCAGACTCTAACTGAACCAGATGTTTGCTAGAATGATGGTTAATCTCCATCAGTGATGTTATCTCCAACTGACATGGAAGACAAAACCCTACTTTCATTTTTTTTAAGTTCCATGAAGTAGATGAAAGTTGACATTTTCTCATTTCCAAGATACATACTAACAAAATATTTACACAACACCCCATGTGTTACTTATCTCCATTCTCAGTTTATAGATCACCTTACACAAATGTTTTTGTAGTGAAAAATCACAATTCAAATATAAGGGGCCACCCATTTTGTTTCGATTCAAACTGTGACTTAGCTAGCCAGCAAACAGTCAAATGACCTTCCCCTGACTGCAAAATATGAAATGTCTCACGATGCTAATTTTCTCTGTATTGTTCCAATTTTAGTATTTGTGCTGCCAAAGCAAATACAAAGCCTTACTTTTACATATAAATGCTGATAAGTCATGGATGAGGGTTAGCTCTGTTAAATCTAACTAACCAACTTGAGACTTAGATAATTCCGATGAATGGCTTCCTGTAAGGTAGAATCTGAAAATATTTTACAAACTTGAGATAGTGATGCAAGCAGCTTGGGAGATCTTCATTATTATAGAAAACAAATCACTTGAGGGGCCAACCACAAGTTGATGCCTCCTACTCTAAGGAAGGATGGCATAGAAGCTTCCACTACCTGAGAAAAGCTCTTACACTGTTTATTTAAAAAGTCTCAGGGTACAGATCTGGTAGCAATAAAGAAAAAACTGTGATCTCTTTCTACAACATTATTTGAATATCTCTGACAGTTTAGAACTATCCCAACTAATATTTGAAGAGAAAAAAAGGGACTCAAAAAGTAACTCACCATGAAGGTCTAGAAGCCCAGGTTAAAATGCGGGCTCTACAGCAGGTTTTGAGTGTGGGTGAAAGTGTCAATTTGCTCAGTATGTATGTTGATAAAGTTAGAATATCCAGCTAACAGAGCAAGGTTCTGCTGTTTTGGAAACAATGGCTGAGCATATAAGTATGTGCAAGTGAACTAAAAAAATAGTTGTAACTTTGAAGCCTTTTTATGGATCAACATGAAGATTGAGGGACCTCAAACAGAAAGGGCATCCTGGTGGCAAAGGTTAATCATTACCAGACTGCAAGAGTACTTTCAATGGCAAGAAAGCAGCAACAGAATCAATGAAAACAAAGCAAAAATTAGAATACCCTTTCCCCTTCTCATTCTGACTTGTAGACACTGATTGTCTTCCTTGGACTTAGGGAACCCCTTAGGTTCTTGAAAAATTCAATGATCAGGCTATAGTAGATGGTCCGCAGTACACAGCACAAGATTTTTTGATAAACTGGACATTTTGAGACCCAAATAACTATTTAGAAAAATCAAACATATGAAACTACTTTATCCTATGCATAGGGGTTATACTGGAAATAAAATGTACAACATTGGAATCCCTAAGGAGAAAAGTCCTAAAAGTTTCAATATCAAGAATCCTGCACCTGCTGCTACTTATCTAGCCTTTTGCTTGATTTCTGGCTGATGAAGTTGCACAACTCTCGAAAACTTAAAAACTTGAAAATTTGTCACTTGAAAACTACTTGAACCAAACTATGAAATCTCACCTGATATATAAGATGCAATTGTTACAATTATTTTAAACTTCAATTTAGTGTTCACTAGCCTTTTTATGTAAAGACTTACACTGAATTCCCAGCCTCAGAGGCATAATCTTCTGCAGTCTTTCCACACACATCTCGAGAAAACATATCAATATTTGCTGCAGAAGAAGAATGACTATATCTTTGTGTTCACGAATAACAGCAAGTGTGAGGGCCGATCTAAAATAACAGAGAGGTAATTAAAAACTTTAATGACATTTTAAAAGCTAAGTTTATATACTTTATCAACTTAATATGTTGTCTGTCCATGTAGAATTAACCCAATTACATGTACTAAGAAACAAGCATCTTGGGTGCTCAAGGGTTTATCTTTGCAAGTTACCACAAAGGTTAAAAGCAAGGAACAAAAAGGAAGCCTCTTGTCCCACTATGGTATGACATAAAGTTGCTAACTTAAAGTCTTTTGATGGGCAAGAAACTATGCTCAGGCCACCTATCTACAGTAGGCAAATTTAAGTGAAAAATTATTCATTTCTTCCCTAGTCTGATACTATACATTATAATGCAAAATCACCTAAAGGGTCAGATAAGAGCTATCTGCAGGCTTAAAACAATAATATTAATAGGAATGCTAATAGTAGTAGTCGTAGCTTCAGTTAATGATGCTCATAAGCATGTGCTAGGCATTTAATTAAACACTATATATAAATATATGTATATGGAGGATAATAATATATCCTTCAAGGGTGTTTGTGTATAAGTAACATAAGTAACATCATATATATATAAAATATAAATATTGTATATTATATATTATCTACAAAATATATAATATACATTATAGATTATTATCTATAAAATATATATTGTATATATTATATATGATGTTACTTACATTATCTTCTTACATACATATGTGTGGGTATATATATATTATATATATGCACATACTTATATGCTCAGCCATTGTTTCCAAAACATCAGCACCTTGCTCTGTAAGCTGGACATTCTAACATTATATATATATATATATATATATATATATATATATATATATATATACATATAATGTTACTTACACACAACCACCCTTGAAGGATATATTATTACCCTCCTTTTCACAGAAGAAAACATACTTGGTGATAAGTAATGTTACCAAGGTCACACATCTAGCAAGTGGGAAAACTAGGGATTAAATCCAGTCCTGTGTGAACCTAAAGCTTGTTTTCATTAAAGTAAAGTTTTATCCATTTAAAGCTATCTTTTCTCCCTCTCCCCATATCAATTAAAAACAACACCAAAACACAGTAGAAATGAAAAACATGAAACCTCTTTAGCTAACATAAGATCATACAATCAAAAGCATCACATTATTACATTATAAATAACACCACATCATATTACAAATAACAAACATCTATCAATATACAAAGCTTTCTATATATAGAAGCCTTTTATGTGTATAATGTCTATATAGAGAGACAAATCCTGCTATATACTGTTCTTTATGTTACTCAGTCCAAATAATTGTTTTTCTACGTGTGATGATCTGTGTTGATATTTCTCACTATATCCCAATAATTAAAAGTTAGTCTTCTTATTAATATAATATTTGTGACTTGAGTGACCGCTACCACTCTACAATGACACTCAGGTTTAAAAACAACACAATAAGAACTAAGGTCTGTACCTGTTAAGACAATTAACTGCATTTATATTTGCATTTTTCTTTAATAAAAATTCCACCATTATCAGTTTTCCTAGATGCGCAGCCAGTAAAAGTGGTTGACATTCAATCTGTAAAACAACAGCAACAATTTATAATCACATAATTACATATTTATCAACTGAACTGAAAACCTTATGTAAGATCCTGTGAGCTTAAATATATACAATTGAAAGGACGTAAGAGGTAGTCCCTTTCTTTTCACTCCTCGGTGCTTTTCTACGTTCTGCTCCTTCCGCTGGAAACAGCCTCCTCTGCCTCACCACAGAACTCTGGTCATCTCCAAAACTCACTTCAAACATTTCCCAGTTCCAAGAATCTTTGCTTCTGTCACAGCATTTAGCATGGCATGTTTCAAGGATTTTATTGTTTCCCACCTGAACCAAGAGCTTCTTGAGGGCAGCAGCTGTATTTTTTTTCTCTATGTCCTCAAACTCTAAGACACAGTAATAAATGTTTCAGGTATTTTTATAAATGATCTAAATTATTATCTATAGAGCGGTGTTTCTTAAACTATTAATATATTCCAAAGGATATTTACTTTACCAGAAGCTCAACATTATACCCCAAAAGAAAGACTTCATGATCACCCATGTTTGAAAAATGTTACAAAACTGTGCATTTTGTGTCTAGTATTTGAGAAATCTTTTTAACTTCACCTAATCCCTATTTGTAAATACTTATTTTGGAGAACGTTAACATTTGAGAAATGAGAGTTTCACGGATACAGTTGTGAGAGCTTACCAGTAAAGGTGGAGGTTTCCTCTGGGTGATACACACTTGCCTCATTCTCTTCTAACCATGGTGTCAGAATCTCAGATGACAACGTCAGGTGCGAGCACCTAATGTTGTCGTCTCAGATTCTGACACGATTGACAGTTCATTTGAAGCCTATCTCTTTTTAATTTGGAGAGCCAGGCTCTGAATTAATAGAGATAGGCTTCAAATGAACTTTCACTGCTTATTATTAAATAGTCCATGGGTTTTCTCTAGTAATATTTTTATCTTAGCTGTCAGAAAGCTCTGTATGAAATGTTATTCTCAATTACAATCTTAGGACCCTGATGCAAATATTTATGTAATTATAATCTTAGGACCCTGGTACATAATTCCTTTAAAAATTTATTTGTATTCTAGTTTCCATATTAATTCTTACTTAACTTTTTTATTTTAGATAAAATATAAATCAGAAATAAAAATACAGTGGCTTATCAATTAAAGCTCTAATAATGACCTATATGAATTATTTATAGCATAATGAAAGCCACTAAATTATTTGCATCATTCATTTATTTATCTATCTATCTATCTATCTATCTATCTATCTATCTATCTGAGACGGAGTCTGCACTCCAGCCTCGGCAAAAGAATGAGACTCTGTCTCAAAAAATAATAATAGTAATAATAATAATTTTTAAAATAAAGAAAAAAGTATTCATGACTCTTGTTAAAGACAGGTAGGAAGACCTTATTCCAGGGGGGCTACCACAATAGGGTTTTGCTGTAGGAGAGCGAGATTGGGCTCAGTCTCACTCTACAAAGGATGAGTAGGATGTACAGTCCAGGAGCAAGGGTGCCGGGTGGGTGGAAAATGACAAAGAGGAGACATTGAGGAGAGGGGATGCTTGCTCGGCCAACTCAGCAGGAATCTTCCTGAAAGCAGGCCAGGGTAACAAGATATCGAGAGTGGAGGATGAGGAATTTGATCAAATATTGAGGGTGATCCCATAGGATTTTCACTAAACTGACCCAGCAGGACTCTTGCTAAACCTGAACTAAACAAGCCGAGGACAGAGCCTAAGGTCAGCGCCTTGAAGGCTTAGTGGAGTAGAGTTAGGTCTAGGAGAGGGTCAGTCACCTGACAGCCATCTGATCATAAGAACCAAGTAGCTTTTCTATCTTTTGTCCAATAACCTTTCTCTAAGCACTGTACCCCAAGGAAAGAAGGCAAATGTTAAAAATCAAAGAAAGAAAAGGAAAAAGTCAGTGGTGTCAAGATACTCACAGCTGCACTATATTTGTTTGTTTGTTTTGTTTTGTTCTGTTTTTTTGAGACAGAGTCTCGCTCTGTTGCCCAGGCTAGAGTGCAGTAGTGTGCACTCGCCTCACTGCAATCTCCACCTCCCAGGTTCAAGCAATTCCCATGCCTCAGCCTCCCAAGTAGCTGGGATTACAGGTGCGCACCACCATGCCCAGCTAATTTTTGTATTTTTCGTAGAAATGGGTTTTTGCCACATTGGCCAGGCTGAACTGCACCATTTTTTAAATAAAATGTTGTCAATAGCCCCAAAGCCTGACAATAGAATCCCAAGTGAACAAAGGCTGGTAAATTGCTGCCTCTTGAAGCAGCTGAAGCTGAACGCTGGGGCTTGGGAGCCAGAACGCTTGGGTTCCAGCTCAGCTCCTCCAGTCACCAAGTGACTTTAACATCTCTCTGCCTCAGTTTCTAACCTGTAAACTAAGGATTGTACTAACTCCTACCTCAAGAACTACCTCCAAGCTTCAGTGAGATCGTGGCTATTGCCCAGTGCCCACGGACTGTGGGAAATGTCCTGTAGCCATGAGCTACAATCAACCACTGCACATCCTTTCCATCCAAGCGCTCTATGAGATCGGGGAGAAAATGGAAACCTATATGGGGTGACCCAAGGAGCTCCCCAGCAAAGCGGGATTGAAGTACAGAGCCAAAAACCAGAGGAGAGTTACCCAAGCATGGCTGGGATGTCCTGAGAGGAGCAGGAGCAGACCTTTCATGCCATCTCCAGACCAGGCCCAGGCAGGTAAGAGGGTGAACAGGACCAGGAATTCGCACGACCCCGGGGGGCCGACAGGAGAACCTGCAGAACCATGGACCCCAGACCTGCAAGACACCAAGATCTGCGCCGGCCCCAAGCACACCCCAAATGCACCTCAACAGGGGCCTGGCCAGGCCCCTGGACCACTGCCTCGGCTCCTCACTCAGGCCCTGCCTCCCTGGCGGCCCTCTCGAGCCCTACCCCACAGCCAGCTCCTGCTTAAACCTAGCAATGCCCCCCAGGCCTGCAATTCTATTATCAGCTTGAACTAGGTCCCGCTGAGAGTGACAGGAAACCCAAATAATGGAAATTGCAACCAGGCAGAGTGTGTTGAATTCTCCCCGGGAGGATGCAGCCTGGAGCTGAGCTACACAGGACGCTGGGAAGCAGGCCCCTTCTGCGCACCATGGCCATCCCCAGGGAGCCCCTCATCAGGCGGCTTAGGGTGGCTTGCCAGCCAGAGAATCAGATGGAGGAAAAATCAGAAAAGAAGAGAAGCAACGCTAGCTTCTGGCAAGAGGCTGGGACTGGTACGTGACATTCTCCTTTTGCCCCAGTGGCCAAAATGTGGTCACGTGGCCATGCTTTACTGCAAGGAACGCTGGGAAATGTAGTCTTTCTTCTTTGCAGCCGTCTTATCATGGAAACAGGGGAGAACGGATAGTAGGGGACAACTAACCAGCTCTGCCACAGCTGAAAATCCAGATTCCGCCATGGCCTACAGGCTCCTCCTGGCCGACCCCCTCGGGAGCCCGGGTGCCTCCCTTCCTCCATGCCTGGTCCCTCTGCCTGAAGCCTTCCTGCCCTCTCTCCTGGCTCCAAGCATCCTGTGGGCTTCCCCCAGCGCTGGTGCCAGCAAAGCCCGATCTCCTCTCTCGAGGCCGCCTGCACTCCCCCTGTGCGTGCATCGCAACCTCTGTCCCTGACACACAGGGATCCTTACCCTCCCCAGGGTCTGTGCTCCCCAGGGAGGAGCCGCACCTCTGGGCGCCCTGAGCCCCAGCCCTGCAGGGTAGGCACCCCATGCGGTGGTTGCAGGCACCCGGCAGTCGCTCCATCCTGGTTTTCAGCCTTTAGTGCACAGAAGCGTGAAGAAGCGGGGGTCACTGGCACGGAGTCCTCCTTGAGAGTCCGGCCGGGGATCCGTACCAGTGGTCCCTGCCCACCTGGGTTAGGAAAGGCTGACTGGCCTGGGGAGGCTGTGGACGACGTCTGCGGTGTCATCTGAGTGCCACGGCCATCACTTTGAGACGGCGTCTGCTTGCTGCAGCCAGGCAAAGGTCTTAAGGAAGGCCAAGGCCACTGTCGACAGGTGTGTGGCTCCAGATTGAAATTGTGACAATACCCCCAGCCATGCCCTTCCATCTTCCCACCGTGCAATCAGTGCACCACCTCCCACCATGCAATCCAGAGCACCACCTCTCAGCAAAACCTCCAGGATCCACCTCAAACCCAGCCCCATCCCACAGCCATCACCCTGGTCCGGGCCACCAATAGCTCTTGCTCGGACACAGGCAGTCACCTCTCCAGGGAGCACCCAGTGTCCCTTCTGCCCTCGTTCTGGTCCGTCCTTCACCCACAAATGGAGAGTGTATTTTAGCATTAGATCAGTTCATGTCGCTCTCTCGCTTAAAACCCGCCCCTGGCTTCCACTGCCTGGCATGAGAATCACCACTGCCTGCCCCACGGGACTGGCCCTGCCACCTGCCCCATGCCCGCTCCCCTAGCTCATGGTCCCCCAGAGTCACTGGCCTCCACCATCCTCTCAGCCAAACCCCACCAGCCACCACTGCGTGCCACCCACCCACCCCGCCAGCCTCTCCATCACGTATTCCTCCTTCCCTTCTTTTGGGAAACTCTTTTCTTCTTGTTTGTTCATTTTATTTTCTGTGTCCCCAACTCGAATGGAGGCCACGCGGAACACTGTCTGTCTCATTCACTTCTGTGTCCCCGGAACCTAGAACCATGCCTGGCACACAGAACGTGCTTGATAGGTACTGAGACAGAGACATACAGAGAAGGAAAGAGGGAGAGAGACAGAGAAAGAGAGAGAAAATAAGAGAAGGGGAAGGAGAGATGGCGGAGAGGGAGGGAGAACCGAACACTGAATCCAGGGGTTCCTCTCCCACCCCTCATGTGCCCATGGTAACAAGGGAGTCCCCCTCTTCTGACCCCTTGTTGTCAAAAAGTCCATCAAGCAAGAACGCCCGAGCCCCAGGCCCCCTCTGAAATTCCCAAGAAGGAAGCACCCCAAGAAGGAAGGCGCGCAGGACGCTGCTCTGGAGCCATCGGGTTCCCGGTCTGCTCACCACACTCAAGGAGCCCCTTAACAGGAGCAGGAGGAGAAAAGACACCCAGCCTGGGGTTCCCCCCGGACAAGGCCATGCTGTGACCCAGGCTTGGTCCTGGCCCTGACCGTGGGAAGCCCACCCCACAGGCCCTCACCCAGGCAGGCCTGAGGCCCATGCACCGCTAAAGGCCTGGAGAGGGGGTCCCACCGCAGCCTCACCTGGGTCCCCTGGGGTCAGGGTAAGCTGGGACAAAGGGACCACCGGTTGCTATGGGAGAGGGAGAAGGCACAACTTTCCCGGTAGAATGGGCTCCTGCTGTGCTCTGAGCCCTGGGTCACTGTCCGCACTCTGGGGAGGGAGGAGAGGAGCCTGGAGCCCCAAGGGCGCGGCTGGCAATAAAGGCAGATGCTCAAGTTGATGCCGTCCCACGCACTTGAGGCTGGGTCCAGGAGTGGCACTGACACGGCTGGGGAGCCCACTCCCGAAGTATGACCCGGGGATGTGCACAGCCACATTCCAAAGACACACGGGATGAGATCAGCCCAGGTGACCCTGGGACTTTGCCCTCTTCGGCAGGAGCCAGCCCTGTGCACCCTGTGTGCCTGTCCATCTGGAAGGCCCAGCATGAGAGGCCCGACCGTCCTCCTCACTGTGGCTCTGCCCACGCTCCTGGCTCCCAGGGCCGGGGCACCGGTACAAAGTCAGGGCTCCCGGAACAAGCTGCTCCTGGTGTCCTTCGACAGCTTCCGCTGGAACTACGAGCAGGACGTGGACACCCCCAACCTGGACGCCATGGCCCGAGACGGGGTGAAGGCACGCTACATGACCCCCGCCTTTGTCACCATGACCAGCCCCTGCCACTTCACCCTGGTCACCGGTGAGTACTAACCCAGGATGGGGCCTGGGGGTGGGAGGGCCTGAGAAAATAGGTGGCACAGAGCCCTGTCGTGCAGGAAAAAGGGGAGAGGTCCTTGCTCCATGCACAGGACACAGCCAAGGGGAACATTAGGAATACCTCACCGTTGGTAGCAACAGATCTGGGACAAAGAAAAATGACCAGGGGGGTCCTTAAACCCGTGGCCACAGGCAGGGCAGCAACCCCAAAAGGCTTCAGGAGGAGGGGAGTGTGGCAGGCTCCCAGCCGGCTCCCACGGCTCCCCTCCCCTGCCCGCCCGTCCAGCTGGCTGTGTCAGCCTCTCCCTCTCCCTTGCATCGTTTCCATCTCCCAGCCAAGACCTCCCTGACAGATCTGCCCAGCCTGTAGACAATACAGACAGGTTTTTAAAAAGCCAAATATGGGGCCAGGCGCAGTGGCCCACGCCTGTAATCCCAGCACTTTGAGAGGGTGAGGCGGGCAGATCACTGGAGGTCAGGAGTTCGAGACCAGCCTGGCCAACATGGCGAAACCCCGTCTCTATAAAAACACAAACATTAGCCAGGCATGCTGGCGCATGCCTGTAATCCCAGCTACACAGGAGAATTGCATGAACCCAGGAGGTGGAAGTTGCAGTGAGCTGACATCGCGCCACTGCACTCCAGCCTGGGTGACAAAGCAAGACTGCATATAAAATATATATGTCTATACATATATTTTTGCTCCCGCAGCCGCGGCTTTTTGCCGCCGCTTTCTGCCGCCGCCCCTTTTTGCCGCAGCTTTCTGCCGCCGCCGCCGCTTTCTGCCGCCGCCGCCTTTTGCCGCCGTCGCCGCCGCCCCGGCTTTTTGCCTCCATCCCCGCCGCCGCCGCTTTTGCCGCCGCCCCCGCCGCGGTTTTTTGCCCCCGCCGCCGCCGCGGTTTTTTGCCCCCGCCGCCGCGGCTTTTTGCGGCTTGTTGCCCCCGCCGCCGCTGTTTTTTGCCGGCGCGGCTTTTTGCCCCCGCCGCCGCGGCTTTTTGTGGCTTTTGCCCCCGCGGCTTTTTGCCCCCGCCGCCGCGGGTTTTTGCCGTCGCGGCTCTTTGCCCCCGACGCCGCGCCTTTTTGCCCCCGACGCCGCAGCTTTTTGCCCGCCGCGGCTCTGAGGGCGGGAGCGGCACACTCGGCTGCCAGCTCTACCGGCGTCCTGGCTCGGGCAGCGCTGAGGGGCGCTCCTGGTCCAGCTCTCCCGGCTCGGGGGTCCCTTGCCTACGCGCCGGCGCCCCGGGCTCCCCGCCTTGGCCGCTGCGGCCTGCATAGAGCGGCGCTCCGCGCGGCCGCGATGTGAGAGAAGAAGGAGGGCGGTGGCGGGGGTGATGCGCCGGCCGCGGTGGGAGGCGCAGGGGCGGCGGCCAGCCGGGCGCTGCAGCAGTGCGGGCAGCTCCAGAACCTCATCGGCAGCCTGCGCGGGCTGCGCACCAAGTGCGCTGTGTCCAACGACCTCACCCAGCAGGAGATACGGACCCTGGAGGTAAGGGGTGTGTGGACCCCGGCTGGGCTCGAGGAGCGGCCCGGACACCTCCCTCCGGGCCCTAGTTCACTTCTGGCGGAGTTGCATCCTTGAGCTCGAGTCGCCCGGTTGGAGGCTTCTCCCTCCTGCACTTGCTGATGCGGCAGCCGGAGGACCCGGGTCCAGCCCTCACCTTGGGCAGGATTTCTGGGGCGGGTGCGTGGTCGGAACTGGGATAGAGGCTCGAGGGGCCCATGGGTGGGGTGGGCTGCGCGCGGACATCCCCTTACCCCCCCCCCCCCCCGAATTTCCATCTGGTCCAGCCCTCTCATCTTGTAGGTGAGGAAACCGAAGGCCTGAGGGAGAACTGACTTGCCAGGAACCCCTGTTAAGGAGAATTAACAAAGAGTGGTTATTAAAGGAGAACTGAGTTGGGAGTCAGACCTGGAGGCCCACACGCTTGGTTAAGACATTATACCACCTTGAATCTGGCATGTTGACTGAGGGTGAGCCACTCCATCCTCGTCTGATTGTGGGGTCTTGACCTCAAGGGGTTTCTTGCAGGAAAAAGCAAATAGGCTTGCTTTCCTAGCTCTGTCCAGTACCTTAGGGACCCTGAGGACTGGAGAGATTCTTGGAGAGCCATCTGGTGTATGTCATGGGTGGGCCTTTTTTGAAGGTCAGTCTGCCCAGTGGGCTGGCTCAGCCCGAATGAACTGTCTTGAATCTTTGGAGTTGTCTGTGTACTTTTAAGGGCTTCTCATCCTTGCACCAAAAGATCCCCTGGAAATTAGGTGGGAAAACCTTAACTTTTGTGGGGCCTTGTGTTTGTCTTAAAATTCCTGCACATGGCCAGGTGGGGTGGCTCACACCTGTTATCTTGTCCTGGATCCCTTGAGTCAAGGAGTTTGAGAACAACCTGGACAATATAGTGAGACCCCGTCTCTACAAAAAATAAAATATTATCCAGGGGTGGTTGTGCGCATCTGTAGTTCCAGGTACTACTGTGGCTGAGGCGGGAGGAGCACTTGAGCCTGCACTGAGCTGTGATCTCACCAGTGTACTCCAGTCTGGGCCACAGAGCAAGACCTTGACGCAAAAAAAAAAAAAACCAACAAGAAAAATTCTTGAAGATTTTGCATTCTGTCTCACTATCCATTGGTTTTCATGTCTAGATAATGTCAGAAATTCTTTACAATTGCTTCCAGAAGGAGTAGCCTTTTGATCTAGTGCACAGGTGTCCAGTCTTTTGGCTTCTCAGGGCCACATTGGAAGAAGAATGCTCCTAGGCCGCACATAAAATACACTAATGCTAACGATAGCTGATGAGCTTAAAAAAAAAAAAAGGTTTGTGCATAATTTTCATGATACCCACCATCACAGATAGGTGGAAAAGTCCTTGTAGTCAAAGGGTTGGACACAGCTGATCTAGTGTCTTGTCGTCCATTTTGGCTTTCTCCCTGATTCCAGAATGCAGGTAGAGATGTAGAGACATGCTTTCAGGACAGCTATTGAGATAAAAAATTCGTTGTCATTTATTCCCAAGCACAGCTGTTTGTCATTTTCATTGAAAAAGTCTCCATTTAAACTGCTGTCACATATAAAATCTATTTATATAAGTCTGTATTTTTCTGTTGTCTTGGCCTTTGTGGGCAGTAGTGTGTTTTAACCGAGCAAACTGTCCTTCCAAATAATGAAGCTGAAGTCAGCCTACCTGCTTGCCATTTTTCTTCCCCTTCCATTTTTCTAACCTCAGGATAATTGTAAGAATGAATTAAGATTTGTGTTTAAGGCCGGGCACAGTGTCTCAGGCCTGTAATCTCAGCACTTTGGGAGGCAGAGACAGCTGTATCGCTTGAGCTCAGGAGTTGAAGACCAGCCTGGGCAACATACTGAGACTCTGTCTTGTATAATTAAATTAAAATTTAATAAAAGAAGAGGAAAAGACCTGTGTTTCAAATTTAAAAAAAGGGGGGAAAGTGTAATGCAAACTGTGGACTATGCCAGCTATGATTGGGAAAAATAATTTTTCCTACAGCATTATCTGTAGACTTGTATTAGCAGCATACTGGTCATAAGCATTTTGCTTTCCTCAAATATGATGAGGTAAGCTACTTTAAAGTGTGGTGGGGCTTTCTTCTGCATGGCTCCTGGAGGTGTTGAGTCCCAATTTAGCCAATTAATTTGGGTTTAGTTTTGATATGGATAAGGGAGACCAGCTTCGTTCATGGTGCACACACAGTTTTGCCAATAAGGAGAAAAAAAAGCCACCTGAATGTTCCTACTCATTAGATGCTATCTGGAGAGCTCCTACCCCACCCCCACCAAGGCCCGGGCCCTTAAAAAGACTCAATGCAGCCTTTCTGTATCTCATACTGTATTCTGCAAGATGCTCCTGTGAAAGAAAGTTGTGCTGCATCAGCTGTCTCCCTCCTGAAAATCCCTGCAGATGAGGATTTGTGTTTTAAAGGTTCTGAGAAGTCCTGCAACAACAGTTCTCAAACTTATTTGTCCAGGGGATCTTTTCTTCCACTGAACGTAGTTGGGGAGACATGGCCTTAAGCCTTGAGCAGAGAAAGAGACAAGAAACTGTTGCCTCACTTACAACCAAGTGTTGTGTTTATGTTTTAGGTTTTTATGAAACTGAGGTGCTCTTTGAGGTTCTAAATCAAATTGGGTGGTTGAAGAGAGGCTGGTATCCCTGTAGACTTAGCCAGCCATGAGAGGTTGCCTTTTGTTGAAGGAGGTGTTTTACAAGGAAATAGGGTGTCTCCTGGGCATCGCATTAGCACTTAAATACATGTATCACTGAAATGAAATGAAATGATGAAATGATGAAATGAAATTAAATGATGAAATGAAATGATGAAATGAAGAAATGAAATGGAATGAAATGAAATGAAATGAAGTGAAATGATGAAATGAAATGAAATGATGAAATGGTGAAATGAAGAAATGATATGAAATGATGGAATGAAATGATGAAGTGAAATGATGAAATGAGGAAATGAAATGATGAATTGAAATGATGAAATGAATGACGAGATGAAAAGATGAAATGAAATAATGAAATGAGGACATGAAAAGGTGAAATGAATTGATGAGATGAAATGAAATCATGAGATGAAATGATGAGATGAAATGAAATCATGAGATGAAATGATGAGATGAAATGAAATCGAGATGAAATGATGAAATGAGATGAAGTGAAATGATGAAATGATGAGATGAAGTGAAATGATGAAATGATGAGATGAAATGATGAAATGAAATAAGGAAATGATGAAATGATGAAATGATGAAATGAAATGGTGAAATGAAATGATGAAATGAAATGAAGTGAAATGAAATGAAATGATGAAAAGATCAAATGATGAAATGAAATTATATGAAATGATGAAATGAAATCAAATGATGAAATGAAGTGAAATGATTAAATGATGAAATAATGAAATGAAATGATGAAATGATGAATAGATGAAATGAAATGATGAAATGAAATGACGAGATGAAAAGATGAAATGAGATGAAATGAAATCATGAGATGAAATGATGAAATGATGAGATGAAGTGAAATGATGAAATGAAATGAAGTGACGAAATGCAAACGATGAGATGAAATGATGAAATGAAATAATGAAATGAAAGGATGAAATGATGAGATGAAATGATGAAAGGATGAAATGAAATGAAATGAGGAAATGAAATGATGAAATTATGAAGTGAAATGATGAAATGAAAAGATGAAGTGATGAAATGATGTTATGAAATGATGAAATGAAGTCAAATGATGAAATGATGAAATGGTGAAATGAAATGATGAAATAAATGAAATGAAATGAATTGATGAAATGATGAAATGAAATGCAATGAGATGAAAAGATGAAATGACGAGATGAAAAGATGAAATGATGAGATGAAATGAAATCATAAGATGAAATGAATAAATGAGATGAAGTGAAATGATGAAATGAAATGTGATGAAATGATGAAATGATGAAATGATGAGATGAAATGATGAAATGAAAAGATGAAATGATGAAATGAAATGAAATGAAATGATGAAATGAAATGATGAAATAGATGAACCAAAAATACTTATTCATTTTTTTTCTTGGCATCCTTCTAAGAGTATTTTAGTGAGGTTAATTTCTAAAAATAAATTGCTATTCAATGGCTATACAGTTGGCCTTTACACCACAGGGGTTTGAACTGTGCAGGTCCACTTAGCAAAACCAACAATTCTACATCTTTCTCCACACCCTGCCCAGGAAAAGGATGAGGATGAAGACCTGTCTGATCATCTACTTCCATTTAATAACTAGTAAATATATTTTCCTTATGATTTTCTTTTTCTTTTCTCTGGCATGTTTGTTAAGAATACAGTATATAAGACATATAACATATTAAATATGTGTTAATTGACTGCTTGTGTTATTTGTAAGGCTTACAGTAGGCTATTAGTAGTTAAGTTTTGGGGGAGTCAAAGTTATAGTGGATTTTCTACTGTGCAGTGGGGCCAGCGCCCCAACCTCCGTGTTGCTTAAGGGTCAACTGTACTTGTTATTTCCTTTCCTGTAAGAGAAAAATGATGAGAAGGTCTTTTCTCCAATAAGTGTATTCAAAATGTAGCAGATTTGAAATGTGTTGGCGCCACCATTTTGCATCTCACTTTGAAAACTTATTATTAAAAATCGTACTAAAGCCTACCTTACTTTTCCAACCTTAGAAAAAATGTTACAAAGAAAAGGGGTGAATCCATGCTAGTTTGCACTGAAATTTGAAATTATCTTTTAAAAATATATTTTTACTTTAATTACTTCCAAAATAGAGATCAGTTGCATACAAATGGCAGGTCACTCTAATCCACCCTATGACTGCACTTAGATTCATGAGGAATTGTGCCAACTAGAAAGGGCAGAGAAGAGGAATAGAGTGCTCTGCGTCTTGAAATATAAACATGCACATAGCCACATGCTTTGATTCTGTTGTCACTGTGTATTTACTGCTAGGAAGAGGGCATGTTTGTGTATTTTTATGCTAATTATTATCCAAGTTGTTAATGATTTAGGCTTTCAGAACCATATAAAGATTTTTTTCCTTTCAGATATAAACTATCTTGCATTGTTCTTCTGATCATATGAGGGATAAATTTGCCTAAACATTCTTCAGACCATAATATGATGTCCATATAAATGCCAGTAGCAAGAGTAGAATCAACCACAACTGCCTTTGTAATTATTTAAAGCATGTGTGCCTATAAGTAATTGGCATTTTATATAATCAAGAATCTTTGATATAATGATCTCTCAAGCATTTGAAACATGGCTCACATATATTAATTTTATATGCAAATATATATATAACATCACTGTATATGAAACTAAATTTTGGACTTTAGAACAGCTTCTTAGAATCTTGACTTAAATGTCCACAGTAATATTTGACTTAAAAAAATTTAGCACACTGTCACTATGATGAAAAAATTACTATAAAATTATTTAAAAAATTTTTCCACCCTAACATTTAGAATATTCTCACATTTGTGGTTAAAACCTATTGTGATTGTTCTTAGAATTTAGATAAAAAATGTTCCAGAAAGTTTGAAGAGAAGCACTTTAGTCGATTTTTATTTGTTCAAGCATGAAGAAATGGCATTTCATTGACATTTTAAAAACTATTCAGATTCCCTCTTTGAATTGAAGTGTTTCAAAGATATCTTATTTTAAAATACCAAAATAGGAATAGAATATGAAGGGCTGGTTATGAGTAATATGATACACTTTTTGAGAGGATGAGATTACAATAACAATACCTCCTCTCATAGAATAGCCAGCAAGTCTCCACTAAATAAGAGTGCCTTGATTTTATAGATGTTTAATCATGGATATTGAGTTAATGCGAACGATTTGTAGACACAGGAGTTTATTAAAGAATTATATAATATCTTTCAAGTGTTGAAATTAAGCCTGCATCCCCACAATTTTCAGAGGTGCTGATGCCTAATAAACTCAACCCCTTGCATGCCAAAATTGGCTTAAAGCCCACCCATTACCCAAGCTACACTTCAAGCATCAAGGTTCAAAAATGTAATTTTAAATATGCAAGAGTTTGAGGAATTCACTACTCACACTTTCTTGAACAGTCTATCCAAGTGCATCAAGCAAAATGTGAGTAAAGAAATTTTGACCAAAGGATTGATAGTAATGTTGAAAACATTTAATAGTAGATCTAAGATTAAAAGGTGAGAGTGAGGGTGAGAAGAGTGTATGAATGCTTTGTGTTCTGACAAAGAGAATGTAGCACCCATGTCCTACCTGCTTGGTTGCATTGCCAGTGCCCACGGTAGGCTATTTTATCCAGGTTTTTAGTTTTTTTTTTGTTTGTTTTCTTTTTTTTTTTTTTTCAGGATAGTTAATCCAAAACCAATAACTCCATAACTGGTAGAATTGGAAGGCTTTAATAGTGCTTAACATTTTGTACATAGCTTTATAACAGTTTTCTTTTTCTTTTTTTTCTGAGAGATTCTTTTCAATATACCCCATCATGGTTGAACTCAAAGTCATTGCTTATTTGAAATTTACAACTGCTGACGTTTTGTAACCTTCGCATTCCAGGTAATTGGTTTTTTGTGCATTTTCTGTATTTTTCTCCATCAGTCTACCTAGATATTTGTTAGATTTAATATTTTAATATTTTTCTGAAAAAGTGAGCTTTTGCGTTTTTAAATATATACTCAGTTGCTTTAATACTGCTTTTTCATGTACTGGTTCCTCCTTTTTTTTTTTTTTTTTTTTTTTGAGATGGAGTCTTGCTCTGTCGCCCAAGCTGGAGTGCAGTGGCGTGATCTCTACTCACTGCAACCTCCACCCGCCACGTTCAAGCAATTCTCCCACCTCAGCCTCCCGAGTAGCTGGGATTACAGGTGCATGCCACAATGCCAGGCTAATTTTTGTATATTTAGTAGAGAATGGGTTTCACCATGTTGGACCAGGCTGGTCTCGAACTCCTGACCTCAGGTGATCCACCTGCCTCGGCCTCCCAAAGTGCTGGGATTACAGGCGTGAACCATGGCACCTGGCTATTTCCTTCATTCTTTATGTTTATTTTACTGGTTTTATCTCTCTCTCTCTCACTGTTTCTCTCCTTCTCATATTCACTTTGCAGTTGTCAAATAGCCCAGGTGATGTTACAGATTTACTCCTTATAAAAGGAGGCATTACACATTACACATGCATCTTAGTGGCCTTACAAAAGTGTTTGGTTCATTTGTATTGACTATTCACCTTTAAAATATTTCAATATTCATTAAAATAGCTTCCAGCCAATATTATTAGACCTATGTTTCTAGCTTTCTTTTTTGTATTGATATCTACCTTCATTGCTGTTTGTTTAGGAAATATATTCTGTGTCACGTTATTTTCGTGAAAATTGTTTGAATTTGTGGTATGGTCTAGAAAATGTTAATTTTTGTAAGTATTCTGTATGAACATGAAAATAACATGAATTATAATATTCATGTTCCTTATATAACATTTGCCCTTTTTAAAATCCACTAGCTTCTTTTAAAACTTACTCTTTTAATTTTTTCTTTTATCTATTACTGAAAGATGTGTGTTTCAAAAGTCTATAATGATTTGGGGGCTTATCCATTTCTACTTACTTTCTGATATTTTTGCTTTATATAATTTGACTCTCTCTCTAAATACGTATATGTGTGAGTGTGTGGTGTGTGTGTATATATGTATGTATGTATCAGGCTAATGCACATTTAAGTCATCACATCGTCTTAATAACTTAAATCTTTTATCACACTGGTTAGACTAACTTATTTTAATAAATGTTTCTAACTTACATTCTATTTTGTCTACATAGCAAGTTTTTAAAAAATTATATTCATGTAGTATGTTTGTATGTATATCATATATACACAGTATCTGTATTGTTTGAACTTCAAAGTTTCTGTAAATTAATATATTAGTTACCTCTCTTGTAACTATGATAGAGATGGACTTTTTTAATTTTGCCAATCTTTGTATTTTAACAAAAACATTGTCTACTTAGGTTTAAGTTAATCTTTGATC